>NC_000002.12:16297634-16449149 GCF_000001405.40 Homo sapiens
CATGGACAACTGAGAAATATGTGTTCCTCCGTTTATCCAAGTGATTATATATTCTTTAAAATATTATATCCTCAGCATTCTCATTTGCTACTAGTGGAACTATAAATTGCTACAGCCTTTGTGGAAAGCAATTTGACAATACATTTTAAATGCCTTGGAAACACTCATACCCAGTAATTTTATTTCTGGGTGCATATTGTTTATTATTATTATTTTTAAACTTGTCATTATGAGAAATTTCAAACCAATACAAGAATAGAAGAGAATAATAAACTCCCATGTACCCAACCTCTAGCTTCTACAATTCTTAATTTATGGCCAACCTTATTTTAATATACCTAGCCATCTCTCCACAACTGGATTATTTTGAAGCAAATCTAAGACATCATATCATTTCTTCTCTAAATATTTCAGCACATATCCTTAAAAGACATGGAATTTTCTGCAAGCTGGAGACCCTGAAAAAAAGATAAAAAAAAGACATGGAATTTAAAAAATAACCACCATCTTATTATCACCTAAGAAAAATCACAATTCCTTGATACCATCAGGTATCCTATCAGTGTTCAAAATTCTCTGATTATTTCTAAATACTTTTTATGCCAGGTTTGTTCAATAAAAATTCAAACAAGATCCATGCATTGGATTAGGTTGATATGCCTCTTAAATGTCTTCACTTTCTGTTCCTCTTCCCTTTTTATGTTTCCTTGCAATCTATTTGTTTAAGATATTGGGTTGTTTGTACCATAGTTTTCCCACATTGTGTATTTTGCTGCTTTCCTGTATTACTTACAGACTGGTGGTTAGCACTAGGGGGCTTTTCATACCCAGGTTTATTTTTTGGTAAGAAAACCTCAAAAGTACTGTTGTATGCTTCCATGGGGGGCATATGATACCTGGTTGTCTCTCCCTTTGTGATGTTAAAATTGGCCGGTGCATCCAGGTGAGCCAATTAATATAAAGTTTACCGAGAGCTTTCCATTAAACGGTTTTAGCAGTTATTGATGACCATTGTTAGATATGTTACTTCATTAGGGTTGCATAATGGTGATATTCTGATCTTTCCTTCTCTCATAACTTATTAGCTAGACTATTTATTTAAAAAGAAACTTTCTTTCATTAACTATTTGACAACTCTGAGGCAGAGCTTGTAGAGAAAAAGGCAGGATAAATACTTCATCCTGTCTTTTATTTACCAATTTTCAGAATAATGAGTTGGTTCCGTAGCAGCTCGGAATGATGACGATGGTTGCCAGAATAATAGCCCCTGATGTGCACAACTTAATCCCCAGAAGCAATGTCACCTTACATGGCAAAGGCACTCTGCAGAAGTGATCAAGTCAAGGATCTTGAGATGAGGAGATGATCTTGGATTCTCCTCCTGGCCCAGTGTTATCACAAAGGACAGCTGAAGAGGGAGACAAAAGGGTCTGAGTCACAGAGGATGTGAGGACAGAGCAGAAGTCTCGGTGGTATGAGCCATGAGCCAAGGAATGTGGGCAGCATCTAGAAGCTGGAAAAGGCAAAAACATGAATTGTCCCCTAGATCCTCTGGAAGGAACAATGCCAGGCACACCCATTTTGGAGTTCTGACCTCCAGAACTGTACAATAATAAATTGATGGTTTGCTAAGCCACAAAGTTTGTGATAATTTGTGATAAGAGCAATAAGAAACTAACACAATGACCTTGTGTTTTTGAATATTTGATGTTTCTATCCATATTCTTTTAGAAGCTCAAATTACTTAATTGGCTCCTGTGTCTTCTAGCCAGAATCACAGGGACAACTGCTTGCACTTTATGTATAATATGGTATTCCAGGTTTATCTCGTACATTTTCTAGGATGAGGCATTTTTTCAAGGAGTCTTGCTCTCTTTCACTGTGAAATGCTATTCAGAGACCACAGTTTGAGTGGTAGGGTGCTCATTGCTACTGGGTTGGTCATTTTTCAGTAGACCTTTCTAGTGTACAGAGCTAGGAAATAAAACATGAATTCACACTAGTATTTCAAATTCAAATTTAGAATTACTGGGTTGTTAGTTTTTAGATATTATGTCTCTTTTTTATGCTGAAAATCTTGGCTCTCAACAACCTTACATAATTTCTTATTTAAATTCTATATGTGTATGTGTATATATATATATATATATATATATATGAGTTACTTATATATCTCTCTCTAAACACCCTTTTGTCTTTTGCTGGGCCAAAGGGTATATATATATACACACAATTTTATTTTATTTTATTTTTCTAATTTTATTTTTATTTTTTGAGACAGAGTCTCACTCTGTCACCTGAACTGGAGTGACTACTTCTGTATCTTTCAGAAGGTTATTCTTATAGATGTTTTATATTTAAGCTTGTGCTTGGTAACATATTTCTCTTTTACCATGTCTTTTAACTGTCTTTGTATTTAATATATAAAGGTTATTAATTTGCATATATTGAGTTGTTAATTACTAAATTCTCATGGTTCACAGTAGTTTTAAGTTGATTCTTTTGGTTCTCAACCTAAATGATAAAGTCTTATTTTTATTATTCAATTCTTAACCTCTAGTTTCATTGTTTTTGTCTATTTACATTGGTTAATTACTGAAACAGTGGTAAAAACTAATAGAGATTTTAGATATCTTGTGTTGTTTCTAAGTTTAGAGATAAAGCCTCTAGTGTTTCTTAGTTCACTATTAAGTAGGATGCTGGCTTTTGAGTTGACATTTACGTATGTGTGTGTGCAATCATAATATAATCATGCAGCATTAACTGTCAGCTCTTATTTTGTTGAATAATTTTTACATAGATGAGTGGTGAATTTGAGATATAGTTAGTAAATGGAAGATAAGTATGTCATTTTTTTCCCTCCTTAGCTATAATGATGGGTTCTATTAAGAGATTTCCTAGTGTTGAACCATCTTTGCATTCCTGGATGCAACATGCCAGGAAAACCACTGTTGTTTTTTGCTTTTTAGTTGTTTATTTGTTTATGCTGACAGATTCTGTTTACTAATGCTTTATTTGATATATGTATATACTTTTTGAAGATATGAGGTCTCATTACATTTTCCAGACTGGAGTGCAGTGGCTATTCACAAGTACGTTTACAGTGCACTATCTCTGGGCTCAAGTGATCCTCTCACATCAGCCTCCTGAGTAGCTGGGACAACAGGTACCTGCCACTGCACCTGGCACTCTTTGATATTCTTTAGTAAGATTGATCTGTCTTCTTTTTTTGATGCAGTTAGTTTTTGGTTTTAATGACACATTCTTTATAGAAAAGAACTGGAGGATTTTCTTTGCTTTTCTGTGCTGTAACATAGTTTCAGGAGCAGTTGGGATTCTTGATTTTTGCAAATGTGATAGAATTCCTATGAAAAAATATTCAGGGCTGGTGCTTTTATTGTAGGGGAGTTCTTTAGCATTCATTATTTTCTCTAAGAAAAATGGTTAGTTCAAACTTTCTGTCTTTGTAAGTATTATTTTTGGTAAGTTGTGTTTTTTCCATAATACCTATTTTATCTATTTTTTTCTTATTTACTTGTACAGAGTTGCAGCAAGGTAGTCCCTTATGACTTTAACATTTTATTTCTTCTATGTCTTTTTGATAGCCTTTTTTTGTGAAACTCTATTCTAAAGAATAATTTTCAAAATCAGAAGGAGAATTGACTAATAATGGTTCACAAGGCAATGAAGATTATAATAGCAAAACAACCAGGAAAAGCATGAGTAGCAGGAGAAACATAGATATCTAACAGTAGGGGTATAGCTAAATTGATTATGGTATGTACACATGAGACAATATTCTGTATAAAAAGGATATTATATAGAATTTATAATGTCATAGGAAAAATATTTTGAGTGAATGTTAAATTTAAAAGGACATAAAATTATCCGTGGAACACAATCTTAATACAAAAATAAAATGTCTACAAAAAAGATTGGGAGAAATACATCAGATCATTAAAATTAGATATGCATATATAATACCTTCAGAATCCAAAGGTCATTATGGAGACACAAAGCATCATTATGCCATGGGATGGGTCCTTGGAATGAGGAGTGTTATATGCAGTCTACCCTCCTGCCTACAATCTCCCTCATTCAAAGTGACTGGGAAAGCCGAAGAGAATATTATATACCTTTGAACACTGAAGCAGAGGCACAAGGATACCCCTAGGCACTACCAAAAAGTCTTGTTTTGTGAAGAGAGCTCCTTCCCTTTCCCCCTTCTTTTCTTCTCTTTTTTCCTTTCTCCTTTCCTTTGGATCTTCCTTCCTAGAGCACTTCCCCTGCAATCAGAGGAAATTAGAAAGTCCCCAAAGATCAAAAAGTCAAAATAATTAACAGATTCGTTAATTCATTCAACAAATACTTAGGAAGTCTCCAGCATTGTCCCATTGTGGAAAAAAACAGAATTGAAGTTCCTACCCTCAGGAAGAGTATGGGCTTGCGGGGAACACATGCTCCATGGAGATGAGTTGACTACTCCTGTGATGAGTGCCTCTTGAGCAGTGTGGTCCCTGGATCAAAGGCACCAGCATCCCTTGGAGACTTGGTGCAAATTCTTGGCCCACTTCAAAGCTGCTGAGTTAGGGATTCTGAGGGTGGGTCCAGCAAACTGGGTTTTAACCAGCTTCCAGGTGATTCTGAGAACCACTGCTAAGAAAAGAGGTTAACAAACTTTCAGGAAAGGGTCAGATTGTAAATATATTTCAGGCTTTTCAGATGGTATGGCTTCCGTCACAAGTACTCAACTCTGCAATTATAGTGCAAAGCTGCCATAAATAACATGTAAGCAAATGGATGTAGGTGTGTTCTCAGAAAACATTACTTATGGACACTGAAATTTGAATTCCGTATAATTTTTATGTGCTGTAAAATATTATTCTTCCTTTGCTTTTTCCCAACCATTACAAAATATTAAAATCATTCTTAGCTCTCTACACCAACAAAAATACGTGGCAGGGCAGATTGGCCGGCTGGCTGTAGTTTTCAGCCGCTGTGTTGGGCAGCTCTGATCATTAAGACAAGTCCTCCTATATTAAGCTGATATCTTCACCATGTAATTTACTCCCATCAGCCTTCTGGGGCTACACAGGGTGCCTTCCTTATTTTTCACATGATTGGTTTTCTTTAAAAGTCCTTAAGCTTTTTGAAGGAACCAATTATATTTTCTAAGTGGTCTTTTCTTTGGGATAAACACTCTCACTTCTTTATTTTCACCGTGGTGCATGTCCTCACAGGACAGCTTGCCTCCAATCCTAGTCATTCCTCTCAACAACCCCGGGTGGTTATTGTTCCTCTCCAAGCTCAGGGAAACAGAATGTGACAGAACAAGCAGGACAGAGCATCACCTCCCTCATTCTAGATGCTATGCCTCCACTGATGCTGCCTGACAAGTACCGGCTATCTTGAGGGAGCACATCATGCATCACCTAGAAACTCTAAACTTTTCTACATATATCACTGCTTGTAAATTAGCCTGCACGTGGGCACCAACCCTTTCCATCGCAGCTACCTCTGCGTGACAGACACAGGAAACTGCTTGCTAGCAGCACCCCAGGAAGCCTATGTGTTTCCAACTGGCAAGGCCAGGCACCTTTGTCCCTCACAGGTGACCTCTCCCCGTTCCTGAAACCCTCTTCTCTCCTGGCTTCCCCATCAGCACCTCAGCACCTCCAGTTTGGGCTTTCTTCCATCTCATTTGCTTTCGTTTTCTAGCTCCTTCTTGGGCTCTTCCTACTTCCTCTGTAACTTTCCTCTGCCTCAGGGTTTGCAGCTGGGCGCTGTTCTCTCCTCTGCTCCACTGGCTTACTTGTCCTCTGTCACTGCACCCAGGACAGGCTATCGGCGTTGATGATTCCCGATCCAACGTGACTCTTCAGCTCAGGCTTTGCTGAGCTCCAGCCTCATCCATCTGACTGCATGCTTTTGTCTCTACTTGGTTGTCTCACTGCCATCTCAAATTAGCATGTCAGTGGGATGATTGATTCAACACCCTCCCCGACCCAACCACTAAATAAATGGAACCCTGACACCTACATCTGCGTGTTGGCCATTCCAGGATTATGAAAGTCATCTTTGAATCTCCTTTTCATCACCCCTTCTGCACACCTCATCCAATCTGGCAAGAAAGCTGCAGGTTTAGGCTCCAAATTATATCTTGGATCTGCACCTTTCCCCATTTTTAGTCCAAGCCTATATTATCTCTCACCGAAACTTCTCCTGTAGCATCCTAGCAGGTGTCTCCTGCAACCTTCTAATCTATTCAACATGAGGCAATAGCAGCGATTACGCCACCAGCCTGCTTAACACCTTTCATAGACCCCTCTCGGCCCCTAGAATAATTACAGGTGCCCTGCTGTGGTCCACCAGAGGCAGCATGAGCTGTTCCCTTTTCTCGTTACCCCGCATACATCTTGACCTTTTGTTTGTTTGCTTTTCAATTCCTAGGACACGCTGAGCTATTTCCCGCATCAGGGACATTGTTGATTTTGTTATTCCCTCTACACAGCCTGCTCTTTCTTCCCTTTCTGTGCATGTTTAGCAACTACTCATCCTTCAAGACTCAGACTAAATGTACTCACCTTCTCAAGGAGGCCTTCGCTAAGCATCTGGTCTAAAGAAACCCCTCCTCCATTATTCTCTGGCTGGTTTTTGTTTTCAAGGCACAGATCACAACTAGTATTTACTACTTTTTGGTTTGCTTTTTAAAATCTCTCTCCCTTACTAAAGTGTTGGTTCCATGAGGTCAGATAACAGGTTTATCATAATCGGCATTCTATTCCAGAGACTAGGGTCCTGACAGAAACATAATTGGTTCTCTATAATTATTTTATACAAAAATAAATTAGTATTTTCTGTTTTAATGTGATAGGAATTCTTTCAGGTCAGAAATTTTGGCTTGTTCATCTTTGTATCTACAATACCTGGAAAACAACAAGGGCTTAGTAAATGTTAAATACCCAGGTGGACCAATGGATGGAAGAGTACAGGAATGAATGTAGCATATATAGATGAATGAGTGAATAAGGAAATGAGTGGATGAAGGTAAGCAGCATATTCTGTTTCCTTCACTTAATTTATTTAAATTGGTCTCAACCTAAGTCTGAAAGTTTGGCAGAATTTCATGGCAGAAGTGCTGAAATCTTCTCTGCTTCATAGAACAAAAGCAGAAAGAGGGAGAGAGTTTGGAATGTTTGATCCCCAAGGTTACAAAACCCAGACATTGCTTCTCTCTGAGCCTTGGTCATGTTTCAAATCTTGCTGACTTTGAGTCAAGGTTTCTGGGGGCAGTGCACGTGAGTTTGGGTGTGCATTAGGGAACTTGATAAGCAATGGTATCAGCTCTTTCTAAACTTAAAATAACAAGCCTCTGTGGAAGCTTCACCCCAGCCCCCTTATAGGGTTGTTGAGTAGTTGGGTTTCTGAACACAGTAAACCAGGAAAGAGGTTTTCTTGAAATCAAAGTTCAAATACTCACCTGCCATCTCAGCACCTTTCCTGCTCTGCCACATGCTCACCTGCTATCTTTGTGGAGGTGCATGCTCTCTGGTTTTCATATGATGGCATTGATGATCACAGATACAGTTTTTTGACCACTTCTGTTGTGCCAGGTACTTTATGTATGCTACATATTTAAAACAAAGAAACAAACAAAACGATATAAAGCAACCCTTCCTGCCCCCATATCTTGCAGAGTGTTGGAGACTCTTCCTCCCTATTCTCAGTGCTCTCCTGCCTGACACTCCCCCAGGCTCCCCCTATCCTTGGCCACAGATTCTCAAGGTCTCCACTTGGCTAGACAAAAGGCTTCAAGTCATAAGCAACAAAGAGGCAGAAAGTGGAGGCAGAAATCAAGGTATTCTGCATAAAGATGTGATTTGGAGGAGTGGAGAGGAGAAGAAAAGAGCCAACCCATTAAGCACAAACTTTGCTGTAGTTAGAGTGAGGTCTTTCTGTTGACTTCCTGGATTTTGATGATTATATTTTTATTTTCAGGGTAGGTAATATTGCCTCCATTTTCAGAGGAAAAAACTAAGTGACTAAGTAGGAGAGCAGGGACTCTAGTTCAGGCCACAAATTCTAAACATGGAATTATTTACTTTTCACCATGCTACTTCCTTACCCCAAATAGGAAACAGAATCATATTTGATTCTGATAATATTAGAATCCTTCCAGGACCCCAGTCCTAGTGGTAGGGGTTGAAGAACAGAGGGGGCAGATTTCAACCATTTCTATGAGCAGGAAAGGAATTGTCAGCAAGATAGATAGCAGAGTTAATGTTAAAAACATGGCAGTTATTCAGAGGAAGCCAGGAAAAATTTGGAGCTATCTACATCCCTAATGATCTGATTTTGACTTTTTGGGTTCTTAAAAAAACTCTCTCACCCTTCTTCCTCTTGTCCTTCTGATGAACACCAATAGCATTGGGACTGAAAGGCCAAACAAAGGAAGAAAAATCAATGGTTCTTCCAAGATATAAAACTCTCAGAGTTGATGGTCCCCAAACATCAGATGTGAGGTGTGTCTCTGAGAATGGGCTTATACAGATGCCACGAAGAAAGATGCTGAAACTCCAGACCATTACTATAGGTAGTCATGTATCCATCCATCCATTTATCTATCTATCTACTCAAAATTTATTTATTCTTCCTTTCAAAGGAAGATTTACTGAATGTCTACTGAGGTCTAGATATGGTGCAATGTAAAAATATCAAATATAAAATGAGTAAGACTCTTGGAGTCTATGGTCAGTAAGGAAGAAAGGAATCAAATGGTTTATCACAAAACAATGAAAGAGGTGTTGGAATTGAAGCTATATAAAGGATTGTGTGAACATATTGGAAGGAACAAATTTTCTTATGGATAGGTTTGACAGTTTTCACAAAGGAGAGAACATTTGATTTTGGTCTTTAAGGATGAGTAAGTGTTTGTTAGGCAGATACATTTGCAAAGGGTATGTATGCCTTGCAATGAATAAAGAACACAGGCAAAAAAGCACAGAGTAATAATGGGCTTTAGTGGCTTGTGGCCAGATCAAAAATTGTGTGTGTGTGTCTGTGTATGTGTTAAGGGAGTGGGTGAAGAGTTGGGTCTTGAGTCTTGGGTGGGGAGGGAAGAAAACTAGATTAGATTGTTGGAACCAGGTTATGAATGGTCATACATAATAAATGCCAAGCCAAAAAATTTACATGGGATCCTGTAGACAATGGAGAGACACTGAAGTTCTGCTCAGATGCCAGTCTGTACATCGGCATCGTTTAATAAGCTCACTAGTTATGATTATGGTTTCTCTGGAGCTTGTTCTTTAAATTTGCCAGCTTGTGTGATCAATGCATATTAGTGAAAATAGAGCAGAGATTGCATTTTGGAAGTATGAACCTTTTATAAATTACATAGACAACATCTTGCCAATAAATACAAGCAATTTATCAGAATTGATTATCCCACCCCAATTCCATCAAAATACCCTGATTAGTCGCAGGGACAATTGAACTTATTATCTCCTGTGACACAAATCAGAGACCAGTTTCACTCTTGGGACATACTGACTGAATTTAGTCATTTGGGCTCCAGAGACTATAGTATACTGAAGACTTATAAATATACCTTTGTATATTTTATTATGATGTAATCCTGATATCCTATGATAGATACCAGGTGTTTTTATCTTCATTATTCGTGGGAAGAAAAGTTTAGGTTTAGGGATATAAAGTGACTGGTTTGAAGCCACACAGGTCAAAAGTGGTAAGTCTGAGATTTAAGTTCAGGTCTGTTTGCTTTCTTATCTGGTGTGGGGATGAGATAGAGAAGTCTTCTTACCCCATTCTTATGAAAAGGAGTTCACATTGATTTGTGACATTTTCTGGATTCAAGACTCCATTTACTGCATTTTATTGAGCATCTTCTATAAGCTGGCTACTTCTCTAAATCTGGAAAGACAAGACTGTTGCCATAATGGAGCATATATTCCGATGTGTCTGACAGATAATAGAAGAATGAACCAATGTAACTAAAGAAAATAAATTAGGGTCTGGCTGGGGGCGGTGGCTCGTGACTGTAATCCCAGCACTTTGGGAGGCTGAGGCAGGTGGATCACGAGGTCAGGAGATCGAGACCATCCTGGCTAACAAGGTGAAACCCCGTCTCTACTAAAAATACAAAATATTAGCCAGGCGTGGCGGCGAGTGCCTGTAGTCCTAGGTACTCGGGAGGCTGAGGCAGGAGAATGGTGTGAACCTGGGAGGTGGAGCTTGAGGTGAGCCGAGATCGTGCCACTGCACTCCAGCCTGGGTGACAGGCAGAGTGAGACTCTACCTCAAACAAAAAAAAAAAAAGAGAAAATAAATTAGGGTCAAGGTAATGGAGAGTGACTGGGGGAAGGACAGTAGAGGATGGAGTGGAATGTAGATACTGGGTCAAGAGACAAAAACCATTAAAAAATTTTTGCATTGTGGTAAAATATACATAACATAAAATATATCATCCTAGCCATTTCTTAGTGTACAATTCAATAGTGTTAAATACATTCACATTGTATTGCAACCAATCTCCAGAACTCTTTTCATCTTGCAAAGCTGAAACTCTGTACCCATTAAACAACAATTCCCCATTTTCACCTTCCTCTGGCCCCTGACAATCCCCATTCCACTTGCTGTGTTTATGGATTTGACTATTCTATGTACCTCATATAACTAGAATAATATAGTATTTGGCCCTTTGGCTGATTTCACTTAGTATGATATTTTAAACGACCTAAGTTGTAGCATATATCAGAATTTACTCCTTTTTAAAGGCTAAATAATATTTCATTATGTGTATATCTCACCTTTTGTTATTCATTCACCATTGATAGACATTTGGGTTATTTTTATCTTTTGGTTATTGTGCATAATGCTGCTATGAACATGGGTGTACAAATATCTCTTTGAGATACTACTGTCAATTATTTTGGGTGTGTTGCTGCAAACAGAATTGCCGGATCATATGGTAATTCTATTTTTAATATTTTGAGAAATTGACATACTGTTTTTCATAGTGGTTGCACCATTGTACATTTACACCAAGAGTGCACAAGAATTTGTTTTTACACCCTTACCAACACTTGTTAATTTCTTTTTTTTTTTTTAAAGGAGCCATTCTAATTGGTCTTAGGTGGTACAAAAAAAGTATTTTTTAAAGTTATTTTTTGACCCCGAAACCAGAGCATAACAAAAAGCTACATCCTGTTAAAGACTTTCTCAATCCTCAATCAAAATGATTTATAATGGGTTAAATGATTTATGATGATTTATGATGGGCTAAATCAGCCCTGATTTATGATGAGCTCAATCAGTAGCTTATGGACAGAGTCCATCCCAGGTCTGGAAAGCTGAGGGTTTTTTCTTGAGGAAAGTCTTGCTTCTGTTTAAAGCTTCTGCATAGTTGATTGCTCAGCACTGCTCAGCACCTGCGCCATCCTTTTCATAAGAAGCACCATTTTTCCTTGGAGCCTTGAGTTGAAGAGGTAGTTAGGGAAAAACTAGAAGTGAACTCCCTCAATCTGATAAAGGTCATCTATGAATAAACTCTGGCTAACAACATATTTAATAGTGAAATATTGAACACTTTTTCTCTAATCTTAGGAATAAGCTAAGCATGTCCACTCTCATTTTTATTCACAACTGTCCTGGAAATCCTAGCCATTGCAATACCACACACACACAAAAAAAAAAAAAAAAAAAAAAAAAAACAGAAAAGAAATAAGTGAAAGATTCTCTATTTGCAGATAACATAATTGCTTACACAGGAAATGCTCTAGAATCTATGGATCTATGGAATCTAAGAAACAGCTATTAGAAATAATAATAATTAACTGCATTATATATATGTGTGTAATACATATATTATATATATATATGCAGTAAGCAATTTTAAAACCTTAAAAAGTTCCATTTGCAATAGCATGAAAACCTAACAAACCTGGGAATAAATTTAACAAAAGATATGCCAGGCCCCTTGCATTGAAAACTATAAGCTATTACTGAGAGAAATTTAAAAATACTGAAATGGAGAAATATACTATGTTCATGGATCAGAGGAAGAATAAATAGTGTTATAATGTAAATTATGCTGAAATTTGTCTATAGATACAATACAATTGAAATAAAAATTCTAGTAGGCTTTTCTTAAAAATAGATTTTGACAAGCTGATTCTAAAATTTATATAAAAATGTGAATGACCTAGCATAGACAAAACAATGTTTAAAAAAAAGAATAAAGTTAAAGTTTATACTGCCTGATTTTGTGACTTAATATAAAGTTACAGTAATCATGATATCACGGTATCAGTAAAGGTTATATATACAGATCACAAGACAGGATAGAGAGTTCTGAAATAAACCCACACATATATGGCCAATTAATTTGTGATAAAGATTTCAATTCAATAGAGAGAGGGGAATCTTTTCCACAAATGATGGTGAAACAACTCTGACAGGAAACAAATGAATAAACAAACATCAGCTCTTACCCCCACTGTACACAAAAAATTAATTAAAGTGGATGATTGATCTAAATGAAAGAGCTACAACTAAAAGTTTTGATGTGAAACATAATAAAAAATCTTTGTGACTATGGGATCTAAGAAGACAAATATTTTTTAGATCACTAAAAGTACAAAACATAAAAATAAATTAGATTTCGCCAACTTTTTATTTTTATTTATTTATTTATTTTGAGATGGAGTCTTGCTCTGTTGCCCAGACTGGAGTGCAATGGCACAATCTTGGCTCATTGCAACCTCTGCCTCCCAGGTTCAAGCCATTCTCCTGCCTCAGCCTCCCGAGTAGCTGGGACTACAGGCATATGCCACCGTGCCTGGCTAATTTTTTTTTTTTTTGTATTTTTAGTAAAGAGGGGTTTTGCCATGTTGGCCAGGTTGGTCTCAAACTCCTGACCTCAAGGGGTCCAAGCGCCTTGGCCTCCCAAAGTGCTGGGATTATAGGCATGAGCTACTGCGCCCAGCCTCATTTTATCAACATTTAAAAGAAAAGCACAATGTTTTCTTCAAAAGACACAGCTAAATTAAAACATGAACCACAGAGAAAATATTTGCAAGCTCCTTTTTGACAAAAGAACGCAGAATGTATGAAGAACTATTAGAACTTCAAAACAAGATAATTTAAAAATGGACAACTGGCTTGAAAAGACACTTCACAAAAGAAAAGACACTTCATGAAAAAGCACATGGCAAAATGTTCAACCTCATTAGTTACCAGAAATTGACAAATTAAAACAATGCGATACCATTATAAACTGCCTAGGTGGGCTAAAGTGAAGAAGACTAACAATAACAAATGTTGGTAAAGATGTGAAGTTAACTAGAATTCTCATATACTGCTAAGTCATATACTCGTGTTGGAAAACAGCAATTTTTATAAAGGTAAACATACACTGTAACATCCACTCCAAGTTATCTACCCAAGAGAAATAAAAGCGTATGTCTACAAAAAGACATAGTCAAATATTCAAAGCAGCTTTGTTTGCAATAGTGGAAAATGGGAAACAATGCAAATGTTGATCAGTGAGTGAATGAGGAGCTCCATACAATAGAACACTTATCAGCAATAATAAAAAGAAATAATCCATTTATAAACATGACAACTTGGGTGAATCTCAAAACAATTCCACAGAATAAAAAAAGTCAAGCAAATACAGATGTCACATGGTCTATGAAGCCATTTACATAAAATTGTAAAATAGTACATTAATTTATTGCAAAAAAAAAAAAGCTAACCAGTAGTTTTCTGGGCCCATGGGTGAAGGGAGAGATGGATTGCCAAGGAGCAAGAGGAAATTTTTGGGGAGTGCCAAATGTTCTGCTTCTGGATTGCAGTGGGTGTAAAGCCAAAGTCACTGAACACTCAAAGTAATTAAACTATACACATTGCAAAGTATAATTTTATTGCATCTAAATTATACTCAGTAAAGTAGATTGAAATGAAGTAGAGAGGTAGGTATGAGGGTGGGGGAGATAAGTGGGTGCAGACAAGGAGGTGATCCCACTGCACCACGGTGAGGGGCTAAGAGATCAGAGAGGGTCGAATTTACCACCCGGGTTCTGCCTGGGTGCCTGGTCAGCCTAGGGGTCAAGGGACTTAGGCATCTTTTAGAAGGGTCACTCTGTCCTAGATCTGACAGTTACCAACAGCAGAAAACAAAGGCTGTAGCTAATGGGAAGGAATCTTGGACTAGGAGAAAACAGATGGGGGCTCTTTTAAGCTTTTTGCCTGACGTTGAGTAATGATCCTCCCCTCTCTGTGCCTTGAAATTCAAATCTCCAAAATGAGGAAGTTGACTTAGAGCCCAAGATGATCAGAAAAGTTCTCTGTAACCCTGATATTTGAAAAAAAAAAAAAAATTAAGCCTTCCTATTTAAAAAATAATAAAATTACTTTTTCTTTCCTCGGTTCAGGCATATATTTTTCTAAGATGAGAGAATCAAACATCTTTCACATGAAGCCTCACGTGCTTCAGAATCTGGTCCAAGCTCCCTCCTGCTTTTCTCTGCCTTCCTTTGTACGTATTTGTACCCTGTGCTCCAGGGACCTAGGACATTGTACCATTTCCCAAACACTCCAGGCTCTTTTTACCTTTCCTCAGGGTCTCTGTCTCAAAAACTCCAATTAGTCTTTGACTCCTGGCTCAGACACACACACACTCTCTCTCTGCGGCATCTCCTGACTCACTTGGACAGTTAGTTGCTTCCTTCTCTGAGACTCCTTCAGTGCCCTTTTTGGAAGGTCACTACAGATCCAGCTCATTGTACTATAATGATTTATGTTTGGGTGGCTCCCTCTTGACCGCAGATTATGAATTTGGTTATTTTGTTTGTTGAGCTATTTATCCAGCCTCCATCTACATGCAGGGATTATACCCAAGAAAATGGTAAAATACAAATAAGAAGTAAAATGCTGGGAGCAGAGAACGTGTAAATTATCACGTAGAGATGAAGCAGGGGAAAGTGGGTCATGGATGTTCACTCATAAAGACCTCCTCAGTTGCTAAAGGTTGGGCATCTTGGAGGCTAAATCAGAAAAAAAACTGTGAATTACATGGTCCTCCCTATCCCCAAAGGAAAAACACAGAAGCTCACCAGCACAGCCAAGCTTTTTCTAGTTCTCTAATTTAAAATAAGTATTTTGCTGTGTGATGTCACAGTGGGGACACAAAAAGATGTGACTCAAGGCCTGGGTGGCATCCCTAGAGCAAGGGCAGGAGCTGATCTCACAAGGCTGTTGGGTCTCTCTGTGAAAGCTGAAGGCAGGACATCAAAGAGACCCAGTCCAGCCATTCTGGGAATTACGGTGTGGTGCTGGGAAACTCCACTGCACTTGTGGTTATTGTTGCCCCTGTTCTACTGCTGAGGCTGGAGAGGTTGAGTGATGTGTACGTGGTCTTGCAGATGGCAAGAGACATCCATTCAGCAGACAAGTTTTGAGTGCCTTGGATGTGCCAGGCACTTTCTTGCACAGGGAAGACAACAGTGAAGAAAGCAAATTTCTTACCCTTATGGTTCTTTCATTGTGTTGGTAAGAGACAGATAAACAAGCAGACTAATAATGACTACACTTTATATTAACTAGTGATGCACACCATGGTGGATATACCACGTAAGGAAGGGGCGTCTTACTGACACCAGGCTATGGGGGAGGGCTCTGCTTTTCTAACAGAGACCAGAGGGAAGTAAGGGAGCGAGCCATGGGTATCTGAGAAAAGCTCTTCTGGGTAGAGAGAATGCATTGCAAAGTCTCGGAGGTGGGGACACGCTGGGGTTGTCAAGATGCATCAAGGAGGACAATGTCGCTAGGGCAGACGCATGAGAGGGAGCGTGGAGGGAGACACAGCCAGAAGGAGAGTGTGTGGCAGCTCACGCAAGGCCCTGTGGGCCATGACATGGAATTTAGATTTTACTGAAAATGACATGAAATAACACTGGGAGATTAAGAACAGAAAATGAATGTGATCTGACTTATGTAGTCTACATATTAGTTTCCTTGGGCTGCCAAATCTTGGTGGCTTAAAGCAACAGAAATTTATTTTCTCACAGTTTTGGAGGCCAGAAGTCTGAAATTTAGGTGTCAGTAGGGCTGGGCTCCCTCCAGAGGCTCTAGGGGTGAATCCTTCCTTTGCCTCTTCCAATTGGTTGGGGCTCCAGGAATCTTTTGGCTTGTGGCTGCATAACTCCAATCTCTTCCTCCAGATTTACATCAGCTTCTCTTCTGTGTGTTTGTCTTCTTTTCTGTCTCTTCTAAAGACATTTGTCCTTGGATCTAGGGCCCACCCAGAAAATCTGGGATAATCTCATCTCAAGGTATTTTATTGAATTACATCCACAAAGACCTTTTTTTCCAAAGAAGGTCATGTTCACTAGGTCCAGGTATTAGAATGTGGCCATATTATCTTTGGGCAACCATTCAACCTGCTATACAAAGTGAAGCAATCACACTTTTTGTTTCAAATCACACTCTCTGTGAGAATCTGCGGGAGGGTTAGGGTGGAGGAGGAAGACCAGTTAAGAGGCTCATACAATCATCCAGTGAGAGATGCTGTGACTTGGGCCAGGGTGGGGAAGCAGAGAAGCACATATTCCAAACATAGAGCCAAATGGAATAAAATTTGTGAGAGGAGAGGTGACAAAGATTGCTCCAAATATGGAAGGAAATTAACACTAAAAGAGATGAGGATAACTGTGGGAGGAACATGTTTGAGGCAGTGGGAGGCAATCTAGAATTTAGTTTTGGATACATACACCTATGTTTTCTATTAGACATCAAAGTGATGATGTTAAGTAAGTATTTGGCTATATCAGTCTGGAGTTCAGAAGAGAGGTTGGTGTTTCAGCTGTAAATCACTAAGTCATTGATGGGACAGGGATGTTGGTGAAGCTCCCTAGGGATTGAGTGTAGATGGAAAATAAAAGGTCAGAAGATGGGGCCCTGGATTCTCTAGCATTGAGCAACCAGGAAGAACAATGAGAAATCAGCAAAGAGAGAGAAGGAGCAGCTAGTGGTTGTAGAATCAAGGGTTGGGATTTGGATGGAAATCTGAACCCAACCTCCTTTTTAAACACCATATTGTGAGGAAGCGCTGTAGATTATAAATCTGTGTCCCTTTGCAGGCTACCACAGGGCCTGGCACAAAGCAGGTGCCAGCCATCTGCCTGCTTTGTGGTGAGAAGGATCCCAGACAGGGCACCTGGTAGACTACAGCCTCTACATTAGGATCACCTAATGGGACCAGCTGGAGCAGGTGGACGGGGGCAGCAAAACAGGGAGGACCTTGGCTTTCCTCAAACAGCTGAAGCGAATCTCTGTCTCTGGTTGGCATTTCAGGAAGCCCTCAGCCACCCAAAGTGTTCTAGACAGAAAGGCTTAGAAAGAAAGCCAGTTAGACAGAGGGGGTGGCTCTCTGGTGCACAGAGTGGGAGCAACTGAAAGACAGAAAAGATGGGGAAGAAAGCGTAGAAGGTGTGTGCTCAGTGAAGAGAAGGCAGGACTTAGTGGAGGAGGCCTGGAGGGTAGGGAGCTGCCTCAGATGACATGGGGATGCTGGACTTCGGCTCAAGGTGAGGTTCTACACATCGTTGCACTTCAGTTTTCCCATCCATAAGTGGGATTGGGCCTGGCTGTCCTCATAATTTTGTGATGAGCATCAATTGAGAAAATGCAAGTGAAAGTACTGCATAAACAAAAAGCACCGTGGCCAGAAAAGGGGTTCGTTTTGAAGGAAGAATCAACAGCAGCAGCTTGGAAAATGATAACCTGCAATTCCAAGAATGCTAGTGTTTACTGCATCGGTCTAATTTTGTACAAAAGACATATAGGAAACACCTGATCTGTGTCAAGCTCTGTGTCCAGCTTTGGAGGAATGAAGAACTAGACAAGATTCTGACTCTCCAGTGCTCCTGGTGGAAGCGTGATGGTGGGTAGGTGAAGCCCATTCAGCTCACACATTGCGAGCGTCTTTTGTCCTCCTGATATCATGGAGTGCTTCCCATGTCAGCCATTACACTGTGGTAGCCTCTAAGATAGAACAGTGAATAACAGTGCTATCTCAGGCTGAGGGAGAATGTCTTTGGAGCTGAAGGAACTGAGTTCTGGAAGACTGGCACCTTGGACATTACGTTGGAGTTTATAAAAATGCAAAATCTTTAGGTCCTTCCTGGGCTGACTGTGTCAGAATCTGTAATCTAGCACAATCTCCAGGTGACTCGTGTTAAAATTGACTGCACATTAAAATTGCAGAAGCAGAGACGCTGTTGATATTCAGCCTGAATAAGTCTTTATTTTGAGGGGATGTCCTGTGCATTGTTGAGTGTTTAGCAGCCTCCCTGGCCTCTACCCACTAGATGCCAGCAGCATCCCTTTCCCGCTTGTGAAAACAGACATCCTCCAGACGTCCCTTTGGAGGAAAAACCGCTCTACCATTGAGAACCTCTGGATTAGAGCAGGGCTGCTTAAAAACTGATCCCAGCCTGACAGCCTCAGCAGCGCCTGAGAACTTACAAGGAAGGTGGATTCTAAGGCTCCGTCCCAGAAGGATTGAAGCAGAAACTGTGGGTGAGTGGTCGAGCAGCTGAGCTTTAACAAGCACTGCAAAGTGATTGATAGACGAACACTAACGTATGCTAGAGCAGTGGACTTGTCCCGGATGTACATTACAATCACCTGGGAAGCTTTCTGAGCTCTATCATCTCTGCTCCCCACCACAAACCAATTAAATCAGATCTCTGGTGGTAAGTGACACAGGCGATTTAAATGCAGAGCTTGGGCTGAACCAATCAAGAACCAATCAAGACAAATGCAGAGGGGATTCATCCAAGCTCACTGAGGTCAACAGTAAGAGACCAGAACTCAAGTCTTCTGACTGGTCCAGGGGGGCCTTTCCTTACTAGGGAGAGGACAGGTGACAAACAGCCTCCCGAACTGGCTCCTGAGGAATTGCCCACCCACAGGGCATGTTTAGATACATCTTTGATCAGGAGTCTTGGTGCGTGCAAAATGCTCTAATCTCTGAGACGTTCTGTGACATAAACTACCCAGCGGGCTTTGCAGATACGTTTGAAGGAATTCACTGTGTTTATAGTTTTCTGGACACGAACAAGGAATTCTGGGCCCAGATCTTCCTCTCTCTGTCTGCTGTCTTCTCCCCCAGCACCCGGAGGTCAGAGTATTTGCTGACTTCTTTTCATAGGGCTCTGTAGGTGATGTCGTCCTATCAGGAAACACCAGAAATGTCAGCACTCACATAAAAGTGTTTGTCACAGGCGATAACCCACATAGTCACTCAAGCACCACAGGACAAAAATAGGCAGAAGGGACTTTTGAAATTCTTTAGGGGCAGATAGGCGGTAAGTGGGCTTCGCACTCTCTCCTCAGCATCCTCACACACTGTTAAGAACCAGCTTCGAACATGGCGCCTGGTGAAGCCAGACATTCTCCATTAAGGGCTCTCAGGTTCCTTCCTGACCCAACTCCAGGCAGTACACTCTCGCTCACATCCATTATGTTCGTATCGTCATGATAATTCTGTGGAGTGTGATTTCTCTCTACTTTGCAGCTTGGAAACTGAGGCTCAGAAATATCTGATTCCCCCTATTCAATTGTGCAGTCTACATTGATTGAGTGCTGACAGTCGAGGCTTTGAGCCAAGAATGGAGATATGCTACAGTTTTGGACAACCTTCATAGAGTCCATAGTCAGATACAAAGGTCAATAGATAAATACCATGCGGTGTGGGCTGTGCCAGTCATTGACTTGTGTCTCTCAGCCAAGCCCATTCCATATTCTGAGATGATGGGGCTGGGAGTCTGAGAACCACATTCCCCAGAATCCTTTGCTAGCAGGTTAGACTCCCAGGTGGGATCAAGGGGACGCCCTTCCCATTCTTCCACCTCTCAAAGGAGCAGTACAGAGCTCCAGCCACTCAGGGTTTGTGGCAACCTAGACACAGCTGTGCCCTACAGTGCACTCTGAGCAGCAGCCGTCCAGGTGTGAGGAGGCCCTCTGAGGAGCCAGTGCTGCCTATGAAAGTGTCCCCTGTCCACTCAGAGATTCAAGCACCAACTGTGCAGGACCCTCGAGGAGGCCCTGGCCACAGACACGTGGCAGCTGCTTGGCAGTCAGAGCACCTGCCCCCCACACTCCCCTTCTCTGAACTTCTAGGTCCTGGTAACCCCACCTCTTCCCTTTTGTTCCCTCAACCCTAGAGCTAGTAATGGCTCTCTCAAGTCACAGATCTCTGAGTAAATGCAGTGCTAATTTTAAAAAACCTTTTCAGTCTTCCCACACCTGTAGCACACATCTCCTGTATTAAATCCCCTCTGGTTGGAATAACCTCTCACGGCTCCTGGGTCCTCTCTGGACCCCGAATGATTCAGGTCAGCTCAACCTGGGGAAGACCTTCTTGGGAAAGTGACAAAGCTGAGAAGTGGAGAGTGAACAGGACACAGCCAGGCAAAGAGAGAAGGGAGAGTGCGGCAGGAAGAAGGAAAAGGGTGTGCAAAGGCTCTGCGGTGTGAACACACTTCTGCCATTACAGGAGCCGTGAAAAGGCCTCTGCAGCTGGAGTGGGGGCAGTGTGGCACCTGATGAGGCTGAAGGGGTGTGCTGAGGGGAGCCTCATAGGCAGGGCCTAGCCATGGTTGTATGTGGGGTGCCCTGTCTTTCCTAGGGTGGTGCCATGGCACGAATGACCTCTCTGAAGGTGTGTCATGCAGTTCCCTTGCCTGTGGGTCACAGAAAACATTGGATCTAATCTCAAGAGTAGTGGATTTTGAATGGGAGAGGTGCAGGGTGTGATTTGTATTTGTAAAGGGCAACTTTACCTGCTGTGTAGAGAACACATTGCAGCGAGGCCAAGTGGAACTGGAAGTGGTTGTAGCAGTTTGTGCAGGAAGAGATAGGGAGGAATGGGGCCGGAGCAGCATGGGGCTCCCTGGCTCTCTGACCTGGAGGCAGTCACTTCCTCTTTCTGTTTAACCAGCTATAAAAGGAGGAGGCTGGGCCAGGGCAAGGATTTTTCAGCTGGAGTCTAAGTCCTCTGAGGGGGGTCTATGGATGGGGGTCAAGGGGTGGGAGAGACTCTGAGATTGTACACAAATGGTTGGACCTATGTCCACAGATGCCTTTTTCCCTCAGGGAAAAGGGTTCTTGACTTTCAGCACATTCTCTGTGAGGTAACAGCCACAGAGTTTTAAGCCACTCATCTAACAATCTGGAAAGGCACTTGCAGCTCAAATTGCCAATGGCTTGCGATTCTGGACCTTCCCAGTGAGTCATGCATTCTTAAAGTGTTCCTGCTGGCTGTTAAAGTTTGTGAGGAAGGGGAGGGGACCCTGACACCATCTGGAGGCAGGGTGACATGCCCATGGAGCTGCTCCAAGCACAGGTACAGAGGTAATCCACTCATGGTGGCCTTTCTGAGCAGCAGGCTGGAGGCACCATTTCACTTGATCATTGACACAACCCAATGAGGCAACAGGCATTGACACCCACTTCGTTACCTGTGCAAAGGCTCCCCGAGGCCACCACGCCACCCTACTCTCTCACATCACAGCCAGGGCTGCCTTTAGGAGCGCCCCATGTTTGCCTTCTGCCATCCCCACCTTCCAGCGCTCCTCGCCCCTGACCAGTGCCCTCTGACACCTCTTTCCATCTCCCCTCTCTTCGGAAACAACGGAGTTCTCTGGAAAAATAAAATGTAAAATCAGACTCACTCTCAGTCACACGAATTGGGGTCACTGTGTCCAATTTCCAAAGGGAAATGTTAGCTTCATGCTGCAGTGAGACTGGAAATGCCATTCCTTTCTGAAAAAGTGGGTCAGGCACCAGAACATGTTACAGGGACTGGGGTCTTTACAGGGCGCCCCTGGAATCCCTGAGGGCAGGGCCACAGCTGGCTCTCGCATGCGTGCCCACCCTGTGCTGCCGGCCCAGCCCACGGGCTCCATCCTCCAACCCAGGCCAAGGCAGAAAACCAGATGCCTTTCCTATGTCTCCAGCGTGTCCCATCTTGCTAGGATTTTTCACATTTTTCTGTGGAAGCCCTTTATGGTCTGTGACCCTGGCCACTGCTGAGCCAAAAAGACAACAGATTTATGGCAGGCCTGGAGAGCAACAATCCATGGATGCATTTTCCCTGCTTTCAGTCAGTAATTTATTTTTAAATGATCTTTCTGTTATTTATGGGTCTCGCTGACTCCGATGGCCAGGGTGAACTGCATCTTATCAGACTAGCAAAACTAACTGGATTAAAGGGCATCCCTCACATGTCATCAAAAGGAGGACTAAGAACCCCGATGTCTCAGAAGTGCAGCTGAACTGGTTCATCTCCTTTTGTCCCTGAACAGCGATGTGAGCTCAGGCCAATGCCTTTGGGCCATGGGGTCAAACCTTCGCGGCTCCTCAGTGTTGAGGGCACAAGGCATGACAGCCGACTTCCTGCCTTGTAAAGTGGGGCTCAGGACACCCGCCACAGACGCTTATAGTGACAGTAGGGGAAGTCGTAGGGAACACCTGGTACATCTAATACTCAATAAATGCTACCTGTGTGATTATTATGGCCTTCTTTACCTTGTCCTCATCTCCCCTCTGGGAATACACCACTCAGAACCCAGGATGAAAAGATAATCATCTTTATATGGGGCTTGACCACTTCTAAAATATAAATTCAAACAATAAACCAACTTGGGGACGGGCACGGTGGCTCATGCCTGTAATCCCAGGAATTTGGGAGGCTGAGGCGGGTGGATCACTTGAGATCAGGAGTTCAAGACCAGCCTGGCCAACATGGTGAAACCCTGTCTCTACTAAAAATATCAAAAAAAAAAAAAAATTTGCCGGGCATGGTGGTGCGCCTGTAATCCCAGCTACTTGGGAGGCTGAGGCAGGAGAATCGATTGAACCCGGAGGTGGAGGCTGCAGTGAGCTGAGATAGCACCATTGCACTCCAGCCTGGGCAACAAGAGTGAAACTCTGTCTCAATAAATAAATAAATTAATTAATTAATTAATAAAATAAGACAAAATAAACACACTTGGAATCCTGTACCCTGATGTTGGAATAACATGGGAAGACAAGAAGACCAGGATGGCAGTTTATTTCTCTCCCAGAAATGAAGATCCGCTTCCACTCCAGCGTAATTACAGTTTAGCAGGGCCTTGTCTGAGGCTGAGGATTCTCGCAAGTACACAACTGTCTATTGTTCTCCCTAGCTCGTTACCATGGTGATCTAATTAAAGCTGCATCCAATGCTGCCAGCCCATAGGTATGGGCTGCGCGTGCAGCTCCTAGTGGCCAGGGGCGCGTGGCCTGCCCCTCTTGAGGCACCTTCCCAAATCCTCAACGAGAGCTGGTTGTCTGGGATGGGACACAAAAAATGCCTTCCGTTTAGGGACAAGCTGTGGGTTAAATGCTACTCCCCGCATGTTCAGAAAGGTGCTGCAGGCTTGCTTTGGGACCTTGGGAAGTGGCTTCATACACTTCATTCTCAGTTTCTTCGCGTATAACAGGAATGACAATATCTGCTTTGTACAGAAAAGAAAAGATTTGTGGAAGGACCTTGAGGGAAAATGCAAGCAAGCCTGCTCGTGGCTGTCATCCTTCCGCTGCACTCTGTTGCAGTGGCAGGAACATGGCGGGGGTGAGGAAGGAAGGCTGGACAGGCTCAGGTCCAAACTGCTGTCCCGAGGCAGCTGGGAGCTGCCTCACAGACCTCTTACCTGGTCTGTACGATGGGGACAACCGTAGTCAGCTCACGTGGCTATGAAGATGCAACAAGATATGTGAAGTCCCTGGCACATGCTGGGCATACCACCGCCTCCCAGTAAATGCCAGGCCAATGGAAGGACAATTCAGTGTCAGCTCCCCAATACAGGAGCCAGCAGCCCACACGATGCCATGATGAAGCATGCCACCTGATGGGCAAGAGCATGGGCTCTGAGTTCAAATCCTTGTGACTGTGACCCTGGGCAAGTCACTTAATTTCTTCATGCCTCTAGTCTTGTTTGTAAAATGAATATAACAGTGTTGGAGCTGGAGTTAAATGATGACAAAAATGGATTATGCCTAGAATATATTTGATACTGAATTGGAGGTAAACTCCTGTCCTCCTGTTCTGTCCAGGCCCAGGGCACAATAGGCCTCCTCCCTGTTTGGATCCAGTGCTCAGCCCTTTCATTTCACAAGCATGCTCCCCGTGAGGGAGCACTGTGTAGGTACGACCATACACATGTGGTGTCTACTTTAATCTTAAGATTCAGCCTATGATATGAGCACTATTGTAGCCCCAGTTTTTGGAAGGATAGACAGAGATTTAGGCAGGTAAGGTGACTTGTCCAAGGTAACACCACCTGTAAGTGATGGAACTGGGATTTGAGCTGAGGCAGTCTGACCGCCTTGCCCTGGGCTTATGCTTCCTAACCACTATCCTCTGCTGCCCCTCACTGGATTGTCATTGAAAGCCTGTGAAGTAGGCATGAGGATCCCCATCTAAGCAGATGAGTGAACAGGCCAGGAGAAAAGACCGGGTCTTTCAGTGCCCCAAAGCTGGCCAGTAGTAAGGGCAGGACCTATATGTTGGCCTCATCCCAATTTCAAGGGCAAATGCTCTCCTATCTCATTGCCTTGAACCAGGCTTTGGGATCATCACTGAAACTGGCAAACCATCCAGTTAGCCATCCCTCGCTTAGGTCTTCCCCATGACAACGTCTTCCATCCCTCGCCTCTCCTCACCACTTCCCTTAGCATTCCTGGGGTCCTGTGTGAATCAGGCAGTGTGTCGGGGACATGTGCTACTGATTATTTCCCCGGCTTATCAAAGGCCTGATCTCTTTCCTTGTAGCCAGAGCAGCTCAACACCTCGTCCACACACCACAGCCCTCATTTCCTTTTTATGAAGATTGGGGAGCAAAAACATTTCAAAGGCTACCAATTAAATGAACCCTGCCGTGCCCATAACCACAGTGCCCCTTTAGAGAGCCGGAGAGTTACAGAGTCAGTAACTGACAGGCCAGCACATGTGGTCTTTATGATCCTGCAGTTCTTCTCCCAAGATGTTGGCTGCTTTCCCTTCATTCTTGATGCCCTGAGTTCTGCCCAGTCAGTCCAAGGGACAGGGCTCCACCTGGCATATTTCCAACTGGCTTGTGCAAATCATGTGTGCCCACCTACAGGCCTTGAATGCTCCACAGTCCAGGAGCCTGTCCTTTATCAGGGAGCTTTATCAGGGAGGAAGCTTTATTGGGGAGGAAGACCAGGTTCTGCACGCTTAACTGCATGCCTAAGCCTGATTGTCCTAAATCCCCTGGATAGCCCAAGAGCCTTCTGTTTCTCTCCACTCCATCTCCATTGCTCAATTCAGACCTCACTATCTTCCCTCTGGTATGTTACAACTGTCCCATAAATGATGCCCCTTCCTCCACCAACTCTGACTGCAATCTACCCTTTCCATGACCACCAAAGGGATCTTTCAGAGAAGGTAAGTTTTTTATTTTTTATTTATTTATTTATTTATTTTTGAGACAGGGTCTTACTCTGTGACCTAAGCTGAAGTGCAGTGGTGCAATCACGACTCACTGCAGTCTCAGGTTATCCTTCCACCTCAGCCTTCCTAGTAGCTAGGACTACAGGTGCACCACTATGCCTGCCTACTTTTTGTATTTTTTGTAGAAATGAAGTTTCACTGTGATGTCCAGGCTGATGTCAAACTCCTGGGCTCATGTAATCTGCCCACCTCGGCCTCCCAAAGTGCTGGGATTACAGGTGGCACTTAAGTCTTCGCTGCCATATTCGAAGTCCTGTAATGACTCCCTATTGCCTATAGCACAGAGGTGAATCTTCTTAGGTTGGCATACAAGACTCTGTGATGCAGTTTTTGCCTGTTTTTCTAAATCTTCCTCTCCCTAATTTAAACTCTTTACTCCAGCAACATGGAACAGTAAGAAGTTCCCTGTACACACCTGCATACCACCACACTGCCTATTGATGCCCTTCTGAGCTCTCCTTCACAAAACCACTTCTATTTATTCCGATATACAGTCCAGGCATCACCTCCAGTGGAAGATGACTCCACGATCACCCAAGCTCACAGCCCCACCTCGGTGCTTTTGTATACTGGTGGGCCCCTTTCCATAAGCAAACATTCTTTTACACCCTAATGATCTGATTTCTTATTCTTTGGTTCTGGTAGACAGACGGACTTCTGAAAGTAGGCATTTTACCTTCTTTATTTTGTCATCTGGGTGTCTCAATCAGTTGCTGGCTCAGAGTAGACACTCAATAAGAGTCTGTTGAACTGAGCCAAGATTGAGTTGGCTCAGGGAAAAAGGAACGGCTGGCAGCCTTGAGAGAAGATCTTTACCTCTTTGGGCTAAACTGTGTGTTTCATTGATCTTGAATGAGAAGCCAATGAAGGAGTTCACATGTCTGCTCCCAAGGAGGCTGCTTGACAAAACAGCAGTGTGTGTGTGTATATGTGTGTGTGTCTGTGTGTGTGATTTTTATCATCTTAATCTGAAAACAAGAATGGGCCAAGCCTTGTAGGATTCGGATCACATGCCTTAGTGCATGTCTTTGGGTTGGAAGCATCTTCTTCAACACTTCTATTACTTGCTAGAGGAATACACCAGGGAAGAGACATCGTCCCCTGAGGGTGGCGTATTTGGAGCTCAACTCAATACAACCACCATAGAATGAACATTTGCTATAAGTCCCACCAGGGAATGAGCCACACATAGAGGAGGTCTTGGGTAGCAAAGAGTGAATCATTCCCGAACTCTGCCTGCAGATGATCATAGTCAGGGGCAGGATCAGAAGATGGTGTAGATAATTGTAATAACAGGGGATGATGCCATGATCCAGGGAAACTCAAGGGCCTGAAGGATAGCCTCTGAGTCTGACTGTGTGGTTGAGAGGAAGAGGCTCCCATGCTCATTTTCCAAGGACTGCCAGAAATTAACCAGGGGAATGGGCAGAGGGAGCTGCTGCTTAGCCAGCAGACAGGCTGTGCTGCTGTGTACAATGTGCCCTGCTGCTTTGAGAGGCCACAGATCACCCAGTCAGTCTGTCCCCCATACAGAGACAGGTTCCCTCTGCATCTTCCCTAATAGCCTGGCCTCCAGGCCACTTTCTGCACTAGGGTCACTGCTAATGCTAAGCCAGGACTTACCCTTCAAGCCATGCCCTCTAGATCATTGCTTTTAAAGCAAAGAGGAAAATGGAAAGATTTTGCAGCTGTAGCTGGAGAAGAGAAATGATGATAAGGCCATCCCTGGGTTCCCCTGTGAGTTTTATCATATATGAGCTGCCTGACTTTGGTTAAGTCCCCTCACATCTGGCCTTTGGGAAGATTTGATGAGAATCTCCTTCTGGCCACGTTTTCTGCAAGAAAGCCCTGTCCCTGGGCTGGGCATAAAGACCCAGCTTGGGGTGGAGGGGAGTCTGACATTTTGGACACTGGCACTGAGGACTGGGGGAGGGTGGCCTCACCTGGATTTCCTGTGCAGATCAAGCAGGCCTGCAACACGGTGGGGGCGTTTCAGGTTGGACAGTTGCTGCAGACACAAAGCCTCAGAATTACCCTGCAATGCACACAGGTCACGAGCAATAAAACGCCTTTTAAAATGTCATCTGCTGAACTGCAGATTCCAACTAATAAATCCCCGTGACCTGGAGGTACCTGGGGTCAAACATTTGCAATATGGCCCCTGGAGCTGCCCTGCTCCCTGGAAGATGGGCCGGCTTTATGAGCTTGCTGTTTGATGGTTGCCATAGAGGCCAGCACATCCACCTGGGATGGGGGGTGGGGAGAAGACAGAGACTCAGTAACATGTTGTAATTACCCAACATCCTAGTGAATCATGTGTCAGCACCCACAGTTGGGGAAAAATTGGGAGCTGTTGCTCTCCAAGGACCAGCTCTGTAATCTATAAAACAATGAGATCACCATCTGGGCTAGGGGAAATGGAGACAGGGCTCGGCTCTGTTCTCAAAGTAAAGGAAGGGAAGAGAAAAAAGATAATGATAGCAACAGAGAGGCTGCTGCCTCTGGCATGGAAGGAAGCTGAGTCCGTCCGTCCATTGTGCTGCACTCGACTTCCCGACGGCTCTTGGGCATAGGCCTCAGTGCCCCCTGTGCCAGATGATGACAGTGCAGCTCCGAGGGCTCATTCCACTCTCCCAGGCTGCTCTGAAAAGGGGACTGTCTGGGCCTTTCTGGCTCTTTCCTCAGTGCTGCTCCTCCCTGAAGATAGTGCTTTCCAGTGCACAGGCCATTTTCCCTCCTGTGGGGAACAGTCCTTTCCCACAGAGAACAGGGAGGTCATTCCTCTCATTTTACAGATGAAAAGTGGAGGCTTGGAGAGTGGAGAGACGACGAATTGAACCAAATTTTACAAGATGATTGGGTTTGGGGTAAGCTGAAAGGCACAGGGGGCATCCCAGGTGGTGAAAGCAGTGCACACAGCCTCGAGTGACCGGCACCCGAGGTGTACTGGGCTCCAGCAGAAACAGTGCTTTGGCTGGAGGGAAGTGTATCCAGTGTTCTCTCTCAGGGAGCAAGGCTCTCTGGCTTTGGTACTACACACAAGATTTCAGATTCTCATAAAATCACCTTTGGGGGTGCTCCTAGATACACCCTTAGAAGCCAGATGGCTCGTCTGCAGCCTGACACTCAGGACAGGCCACCATCTGATCACCGCTTCTCTCTCCAGACACTCCCCTTGCTGAGAACTTCGGCCAGGTCTCACTGCCCCACATGTCACCTCATTCTGTCCAGGGTGTGACCCCCTCTTCCTTCGCCCTTCCCACTGCTCCTGTCCTAGAGAATCCTGCCTCACCTTCAAGGCCCAAACCCCAATGCCTCCAGGAAGCCCATCTGGATTGCTAACTCTCTGAGTCCCTCCACACAGTGACTTACCAAATAAAAACAGCTTCTCTTTTTTTTTTCCCCATTAGGAACTGAGCCTCATAATAAACATAAATGACAACTTACATATAACATGTATAATTTATACATAAACCGCTTTTTTTCTCTTCTGACTTTATGATGTCCTTATCTACTGAATTTGTAATCTTTGCTCTATTCATGTTGCGTAGATACTGGGTCTAGCTCAGTGGATGCTGCTATAAAGGCCAAGAAAAAGAAAAGGAAGAGCTGACCACATCTTGATGCTTGGTGATGTGATAATATCATTGCAGTGCTTTATGCTTACTGCAGAAAATAAGGAAACCAGCTCTCATGTTGGTGTCTGATTGTTCCAATGTAATGAGTCCCCTGAGAGGAAAGCTCTAGCTTACTGCAACAGTCGTGGTTTCATGCAATACTGAGAAAGTGCTAGTGTGTGTATATCTAACATAGAAAAGCACTCACTACATTTACTCTTCTGTTTTCTGCTTTTGTTCTGATCATTGTCACCTCAATTAAACATACAGCTCTTTGGGGGTCCCAGACCCTGGCTCCCCATGGCCCCAGGAGTCCTGGAAATAGTACATGCTCCATGCATTCTGGTTGGAGTTCTCTTTTGTTGCTGCTGCAAAGAGGAAGGAGCAAAATGATCACAGTAGCTCTTCCTAGTGGAAGTGACTAAGGTGTAGAGATGCCTTACAATTTGTATGTAAATGTCGTGGGTTAAAGCTGACTTCGCCACAGGGGAATATTGACAGGGCTTTAAAAATAATGACCCAGCTAATTAATGGTGAAATAGAATAGGGTTCCTGGAGATGTCCTCAGGATCTTTTCATTCAGAGCATAAATAGGAAATCAGAGTGGCCAAGTGAGCTGGTGCCTGGCACTTGGCTTCTGCGCAGGGAAGTGGAAGCACAGGTGATATCGCTTTGTTTCCTGTCTGTGACTTTGGAGCTGTGAGGTCACTGGGCACAAGGTCCATGTGATGTGATCCCAGACAAAGCACAGTTTCTTAGTTCAGGAGTGAAATAAGTGGGTGGAAAGAGTCCTCCATTGGGACCAAAGAGACGCATGTTTTAGACCAAAGCTTTGACTTTGGACAGGGGACTTAACCTTTTGTCCGTTCAGTTTCCTCATTGGAGACAAAGATGTCAACCATCCATGGTTGAATCAAAACGAACACAGAGAACTTTTTATTTTATTTTATTTTATTTATTATTATTAGTTTTTGAGATGGAGTCTCTCTCTGTTGCCCAGGCTGGAGTGCAGTGGAGTGATCTCAGCTCACTGCAACCTCTGTTTCCGGGGTTCAAGCAAATCTCCTGCCTCAGCCTCCCGAGTAGCTGGGATTACAGGCGCCTGCCACCACGCCTGGCAGATTTTTATATTTTTAATAGAAATAGGATTTCACCATGTTGGCCAGGCTGGTCTCGAACTCCTGACTTCAAGTGATCCACCTGCCTCAGCCTCCCAAAGTGCTGGGGTTACAGGCATGAGCCACCGCACCCGGCCCACAGAGCTTTTTAAAAAACTCCTAGCAAACTGTCGGTGCCTAATTAATGTTAGTCCATACGGCATAGCCACCTCTGTTTTTGGACACTCACACAATAATAATTTTCATGATTTGCCTGACCCCTTGCATATTTCTGAGGCAAAATCTGAACTTGTGTCCCATAACTAGCTGTTTCTCCTTAGACCTGGATGGTAGGTGGATGATTTTAAAGAGCCAGGAAAGCCCCGTGTGCAGAAGACTGCATGCATGGCCCACCTTTCCAGGAAGCTTTTCCTTCGTAGCCCAGCCCACCCTGAGCTCTCCCATCTCCATTTTTTATTGTCTGTTTATATTGCTTTTGTATTTTCAGCAAGGTCATGAATCATTTCATGAATCTGGATTTGACGTTAGGAAACTTAGGTTCTAGAGAATTGCACTATTTACTGTGACTGGGACAAGTCACTGAAACACTCTTAGCCTCAGTATCCACATCTAAACTATGGGGATAACCATACTTTTTGGCTTTGTTTTGAGGATCAAAAGTGTTCTCATGTTGGTGGCAAAAGCCCAGTTCTGGGGTACAGTGGATACTCCTGAAGTGCCAAAGCATGGCACACAGAGCTCTTTCCTCAGGAGTCCTGGCCTAGCTGAGGGCCTTCTCTCCTTCCTTTCTCCAGTGATCTAGACCAGAGGTGTCCAGTTTTTGGCTTCCCTGGGCCACATTGGAAGAAGAATTGTCCTGGGCCACGCAAAAAATACACTAACACTAATGATAGCTGATGATCTAAAAAAAAAAAATTGCAAAAACATCTCATAATGTTTTAAGAAAGTTTAGATTTGTACTGGGCCGCATTTAAAGCCGTCCTAGGCCCCTCGGGCTGTGGGTTGGAGGGTTGGGCAAGCCCCGCCCCCCGCTGTCCTCTGCACAACTTTTGTGCATTTCAGGCTCTTCCTCTGTGTTGCTGTTGTTCCCTCCTTACTAAGTGCTTCCCCATTTTACTCAACTTCATTTGAACATCTTGGAACCAGCTCACCTGCCCTCACTGTGGAAGGTCTCTGTTGTCACTCTGCTGCCTGAGGCCAGAGGCTACTCTCTTTGTGTCCTGCACCAGGCCTTCCTCACTCTGCAGTGAAGTAGGGGTCAGGAGTGAGGGACGTTAAGCTGGGAAAAGGGAAGCCTCATGAGCCGTGAACAGGACATAAATACATGCCTTTCTTTAAGTCCCTACTATGTACAAGATTCTCTGATGGGTACTTTACTGTTTTCACTGTTTTCTCACTCTCAAAAGACAATGCTAAAGTCATATTTTGCCAAGGAGGAAGCAGAAGTGTAAAGATGAAGTCATGTGCCTAAGTTTTTAGGCCAGGGAAGCAAACGCTTCAGTGGATCCAGGTTTTGAATCCATGTCTATCTAGGTCCAGAGACAGCTACATAAAGCAAGACAAAGTGTGATCGATGGGCGTTGCAGGAAGGCATCTTCTGACTCCTCCTGACACGGAGAGCTGCTCGCTACAGAAGGTGTAGAATCTTTGAGGACAGTGAGCTGTCGGATGCTGAAATGTGCAGGCAAGAGGTGAAAACCATTGGCAGGGGCTGCTGTGGAGGAGATTCGGGCCTCTTGCAATAATAAAGTTAAGTGAAATCAAAAGAAATGCTCTTGTTCTCTCCTGGCCCTGATGGCCCATGGAATTGCATTCTCTCTCTGACTGATGCTGAGGGCCAGCTCAATGGCTAAGAATCCCTCTCGCCTTCTTGAAGCCTGTGTCTCCACAATAAACCTCCAAAGCTAATGCAAGCCCATCTAATATGGCTGCTTCTCGGCACCTCACCTCCCAGATCTTAGGCTGCGGCTTTCGGGAAAAAGCTAGACCTAGCTAGACCCACAGCCATACCTCCTCCTGCACCCAGGCCTCGAACACCCACCAGAGTGGGACCTGGGGGCCCCTCCTGCCTGCCTGCCTGAGTGCTCCATCTCCGGAAGGGTCCCCGAAAGACAGGGCCCCACAAGGGGAGGCTTTGGAGAGCCTGATTGCATGACAAACACCACACATATTGAAACACTCTGGCAGTTTCCCGGTGCTCCCAGTCAGAGACCTGACCCTTTTGACCTCAAACATCTTATTAAAGCCCCTAGAGCCCCACGTCTCTGCGAGGGAGAGAACGAAGCAACTCCTGGACTCATTCTCTTCCCTAATTCATTCAAGTAAGCCCGGCTGAGTGGGGCCTGGGCCTTTGATGTTAAAGGCCCCTAATTGGAAGGAAGTGAAGTGTTAGCCTGTCAGCCTTTTAGTCTCTCATCAAATACTTTAAGAGGTATCCGCACAGTGCAGTTCTCACACTGGGGCCGAGAAAGCCCGGAGTGGACTGCTTTTTGTTAAAATGTTTAAACTTTGCATCTGTCTAACAGAAAGTTCATTACAGATGTCACAGTTCCTGGTGGGCTCTCTCTTCCCTCCCCCTGGCCCCCACCCACCTCCTTCTGCTTTAGGAAGGACCCGTCTCAGGGCCCACAGTGCTCGCCCACCCGCCCACCCTGAGCCCACGGGAGAGGAAGGTGGCTGCAGGAGCTAATTACCGACCCCCAGACGCAGGCCTGCAAGCTCCTGGTTGGGGCCTCCCTCCGTGGGGCTCCTTTGATCTCCGTGTTTGGAATTGTGTCACTCCCCAGGAATGTGCTCCCCCACCCCCATCTCTGCATCCCAGAGTGTAACCCTTTCAGAGCACCTCTCTTTTTTACAGCCTGGGCCATCAAGCCCAGAAAGGGAAAGTGACTTGCCCAATGTCCTTCTGGGAGCTAGTGGCAGCGCTGGGTCCACCAGCCAGGACTTCTGACCCCTGGGATGGTGGTATTCTGCATATACGTCAATGTCTGTCTTTGGGAAAAGAAGGCTGGGACTTTACTTATCTACATTTATATAGAATGGGATTACATTTGCCCAGATTCATGGGCAACAGGCTTGATGATGCTTGGGTCTGGAAAGGGAAAGTGATTCTGTGTCTCTAGGATGCATACGGTGGGGGCAGTGGGAGAGGAGTGCGGGCCACTTAGCAAAGAGATTCCAGCATCCACGAGGGCTTGACCACCTGCCAGGGCTTGGCAGGACTCTCAGAGCAAATCCCATGCACCCAGACCTGCCACAGGATGCAGATGCAAATGCAGGAAACTCCAGGCCATGTGTGGACTGAATGGGGGTGCTCCTGCGCATTGGTTTTACAGATACACAAAGTTTCTAACTGATCTCTTGTGGTTGATGAAGAAGGCAGCAAAATTCCTACTCCACGGGACTCTTGAGGGTTCCTAAAGGGACCATTGTGAGTTAGTAGAAAGTATCAAATACGTAATAAATGCAAAACACATGTAATTTCTAAATCAGTTTTTGACTTTCTTCAGTTACACAGTCAATGCTGAGCTCTGGTAAGCCCCCTTCAGACATTTAAGTTAAAACATTAAAATTTGAAACAATATAACTTGATTCAATTCATTCTTGGTCCTAAGTTTCCCTTTTCAATTTATAAATGTAATCATGGCTTGATTATTAGGCATTTAGGGAATTCATTTACTTATTCATTTATTCAAAACATACTCTGCATGCTCCTGTTACAGGCTAGAATGGCGTATCTCAGGTACCATTTTCTCTCCAGTGTGTTTTCATATCATTAGTGTCTCTATAACAGCGAAAGGGAAGAACTGATGTTCTCAGTTTTAAGTGTGAGAATTTGAAGTGGAAAAGCAAGTTTGCTATTCCTACCAGGGACCCTCTGATAGATGCTGGCCATGCCTGCCTGCTTCCACCTGACTGAATGAATGTGGTTTCTGTTTCAGACCCCATTTCCACTCTGCTACCCCAGGGTGGGCTGCTCCCTGGCCATAAGCACATGCAGCAAGCCATGCACCTGCCCACATTCCAGGCTCAATCAGGGTAATGAACTGATGTTAAGATAGAAGACTGAGGTCAGCTCTCACTAGAAAAGCCCTCAACTCAGCTCTGTCAGAAAACCCAGGGCTGGAGAGCAGACTTGAACTTCGTTAAGTTTGTCTTTGAAATCTCGACAGACCTTAGTTTGAGGGTAAGCCAGAGAAGGCCAAATATCCACTGGTAGACAGACTCAGGCAGGGAGCCCTGACCCAAATCCAGTCCAGAAGGTTCTTCAGTTTGATAGACACATGCAGACACAGAGATAGAGATATATATATATATATATACACACACACACACATACAAACACACAGAGATAGAGATATATATAAAACACACACAGAGATAGAGATATATATACAACACACACAGAGATAGAGATATATATACACATACACAGAGATAGAGATAGACACATACACACACACAGAGATACACACATACACTCACACACAGAGAGAGAGATATACACACAGAAATATATATATACACAAACACACAGAGAAACATTTTATATATATATACACCTAGACATACAGAGACACAGAGATATATATACACACACATACACACACAGAGACACAGAGATACACATGGAGAGGGAGACATATGCACACATATACACACACACAGATATACACACACAGACACAGAGAGAGAGACACGTATGCACACATACACACACAGAGATATACACACAATGACAGAGAGAGATATACATACACAAAAGTACACACACAGATATATATACACACACACACACACACACATATATGTATATATTTTCACTTTAGGTAGTCTCATGACATCTCCATGAAAACATTTCCAGAGCAAAGCTCCTTTTAGCGAGGTTTGCCTGAGCATGATCAGGTTTGGGAAAGGTCCAGCATAGTGTCTGGAGCCCTGTGGGTGAGCCACAGGCCTGGGGTAGTGTCTCAACACACCACATGTGTATTTCTAAGCCCCTTCAATTCTTTCAGCATTTCACAAATGAAGCTATTAGAGTAGACTGGCTTTAAGTCTTGTTCCAGGGGGAACATTTCATGATACTATGAGAGTACCAGAACACAAGGGATAGTTTCATAATCATTACTAAATAGAATAGTGCCTAGTTTGCCAAATTTGAATAAAAACAGAAGGACAAGGCCGTGTTGCCTAGGTTTATAAAGTTCCATGCCATTTTCAGATTGTGCAATTTTGTCTGAATATTCCATGTCAGTGTAACCTAACCTCTGTTTTAGATCCTGGTGATGATCCTGCACAGTTGACATAATTACCACCACCTTCCCAGGTGCCGAAATTGAGACTGAGAGAAAAACAATCAGCCCCCGATTTTACAGCTACAGAATGCTGGAGCTGGAGCCTAGCGTCCTGACCCCTCTACTGCACTTACAGATTTCTCCGGATCTTGACTACAATCCAAAGCAATCGTGCTGGAACTAAGGAGAGCTGTAGCCTCATCCATCAGACTGAATCTTTTACTTTTCTTCTGGCTGTTTGCATGTTATAAACAAAGCTACGAGTTACTCTTTTTTTCCAAGGTGGCACACAGTAACTGTGGGGAGGGTCAGATGCTTTTCTTGGAGTACTGATTCCAAGGAAATACCTTAATCTCATTGAGTCAATTCATTAGCAGCTTCTAAGACTTTAATCAACTAACATTTCTGTGCTAAGTCAAAACCAAACTATTTAAAAATTTTTAAAAAAACAATTTCTAATGAACCTGACTCCCACTTAGAGTACTTCAGCTGAGAATCTTTTTTGGCCCCTCCCTAATTGTCTAATTAATGCAATATTAAATTGACACCAAGCAAATGGGAGCTGAATTGTGTGCTAACAGTTTGGGCAAACTGAGAAGAAGTGTAATTTCTGTGCATAAGCCAGATGGGAGCAGAGAAGAGGAAGGGATATGTGCATGCTAATTTGCAGTTTGACAAACTCCTTTTGTAAAAATAAACACTTTTGCAGAAGTCTAAGGAAAGCAAATGTCATCCATTTCATACCATACAATGCCTACTCATAGATATTGAACATGTGCTGAGTGCTCATTTCTTTTTTTTTTTTTTTTTTTTTTTGTTCGACGGAGTCTTGCTCTGTCGCCCAGGCTGGAGTGCAGTGGTGCGATCTCCGCTCACTGCAAGCTCCGTCTCCCGGGTTCACGCCATTCTCCTGCCTCAGTCTCCCTAGCAGCTGGGACTACAGACGCCCGGCTAATTTTTTGTATTTTTAGTAGAGATGGGGTTTCACCGTGTTAACCAGGATGGTCTCGATCTCCTGACCTCGTGATCCGCCCGCCTCGGCCTCCCAAAGTGCTGGGATTACAGGCGTGAGCCACCGCGCCCGGCCCATGTGCTCATTTCTAACCACATTTTACAGTAAGAGTCACATCTAATGAAAGCAGAGAAGTTCACCTCCTTATTCCATCACTGCAGTATTGGCTGTCAGGTGCAAAGAGACTTGAGCTGAACTAAGAGATGCATCCAGCCTAGTGCTGGGAGGAAATGCTCCAAGTTCCTTGTTCTGAACTGGCCAGAGGCCCAGGGGACTGAACAGCACTCCAGGTTTCCATGCTTGCAGATGTCAGATGCCTACCAGAGACACAGTCTGGGGTGGCAGCATTATCTGGTCCACCTCCTACATCAGTCTTGAATGCTTTTTCTGAGGGAGAGGGAAGATTTGCTGCAACCCATCCTTGGACATCCAACAGAGGCTTTAGTGGAACCACGAGTTACAGATCAGGAGCAGTGACTATCAGTGCTATAAACTTTTTTCATAACCCTCCCAGAGATAGACGTACAGATGTGCCACCCAGATCCTTCAAGAAAAGACTCATTGCCAGTCATAAGGACCAAGGTCAACGGACAACCTTCAGCTATTTTTAAGTCTCCTGCAGCTGCAGAGAATGATACTTCATGTAAGGTGTCAGTACAGGTGCCTGATTTGGGGGCAGCCTGTATCAGGTGCCTGTGCAAGGCAAGAGGGGCACAAAAGCCCAGCCATTTCTCTCCAACATGGGAAGCTGTGAGGGATAATACACTCTCCAGAGAGCGTCTATTGGATAGTGGAGGCTTTGCTGGGCCTGCATTACAGTTAAACTTCTCCCTCTGCCCAGTCCTCCTCCTTCACAGGCATTGATCCCTAATAAACGTCTTGCTCTCCAAACTCCCTCTCAGTATCTGCTTCCAGAGGATCCAGCCTGGGGCACTGTATTTCTTGCTTTTTTCCCCCCTGTTTTCTGTAGGGATAAGATCCTATAAAATAAAGGAATGCTTATACTGGCTTTCAGGGATATTACCCAGAGTTGAGAATATTTTTTCCTGATTTGGCCCCTGTAGTCTTGGAGATTTGGGCTAGGAACCCTGGTACTGAATGACTTAGGATTTTCTCAGCAATAAGCAGTGTGGCTTTGTGTGGCTGCATCTCTGTGCAGAGCACACTGATATAGCAGAGAGCCAGGCTGTCAGCAGTGTTAGGAGTTAACTCTTAAAACTCAGACATTAAGCAGATTGTTTTGAGTAGAAGGCTCTGGGGACACAATCAGATTAATCTAGATAGCCCAGGCAATTGCTTCTGAGTGTATTGAATTAAGCTCAAAGACCAATTCAGGAAATGGCCTGGGTATTTGCATTACCAAAACAAACAAACAGACAAACAAAATAAACAAACAGTGTGATTCGCTTGGAGGGCAGCAGATCCCCAAGATGAAACTGAGCCTGAGGATCCCACAGCAAACTGTCCCAATAGACATAACCACAGACTGTAGGGCAGCCAGTATTGCAAAGTATCACTAGGCATATGGGCAGCAGGGGTGGTGCTGACCCAGAGAACTACCACCACCACAAAATGCCCAACACATGTGGCATGGGGGGAGCAGCCCCCAAAGTGACCCTGCACACCTCCACAAGACTCTCAGGGAATGCTCTTTGAGGAACTCTGGTTAGGATTCAGGATTCAACCATCTGCAGGAAATGAAATTTTGTATATGCCCAGGCATTTTACCAGGACAAGCTCATACCTTCTCCAGAACACGAGAAGGAAATGTCCTGGCTCAATATTTATATGAAGCTAATTGTTATTTTGGCTTCATCCAGGACTTAGAAAGATATCTCATAATTAAGGCTGAAGTGTCTCAGCTGCCACTGGCAGGACAGAGCTTCAGACCCAGCGGCAGAGGAAGTCTGTTAACTCAGAAACTGGCAAAACAGGAATTATTAGAAAACACACTGGCATCCAGTGATTAGAGGAGAGTGGACCCTAAATTGAAACCAGGAGACAAAAACCACTGTGGACTTTTTCTACAAACCACAGAGTAGGATGCAATTTCAGCTGAACTTAAACGAGCAAGACTTAAGAATGGAGGAAGATTAAAGATAACTCATTTAGAGACGTTCCAATGGTCCTGATTTGATACTTGATGGTCCATTAGAATTCTTGGAAAGTATAAAAGGAGAAATACATTGTTGCCAATTACCAAAGGGTCATCAGGCAAACACCTTCTGGCCTGCCTTCCTGGTGGCCATTCCCAGTGTACATCTCAGTTTTCTCAAAGACTCTTCTTAGAAACACAGGATGCTAAAAGGAGTGGAGCCTTAAAGATGCATCTAGGCATGGGATGCCATAGATGAGGAAACTAAAATCTAAAGGGAATGGGACTTGTCATCCCTGGTGCCATGCAGGGCCCAGGCTTCCTACCTTCTAACCCATACTCTTCCTGCAGAACCACGCTGACTTGCAATACTTATGCTTGGGATTTTCAAGAAGCCAGGCAGAGAGAATCTCATTATGTACCTAAAGCTTCTCTGGTGCTGCAAAGCACTGTTCAAAAGCTTAGGTCTTGTTGAGCTCATGAAGCAGTATCTGTGGCCTCTTCTGCACTCTCCATACTTGGCAGCCACACCAAACTTCATCAGAGAAAGATCCCCAGCCAGAGAGGGCATCTGTAGAGTGCAACTTGCTTGATTTTCAATATTGATAAAATAGGTCTGCTTGGTCATTTGGGGAAAGCACAACAGAAGGGAAGAGGAGAGAGCACCTCTGCACACCCAAGAGCAAACTACGGGGTGGGGTCTGGGTGCCGGGAGTGGGATAAGAGGTCAGGGGCAGCTTAACCTGTCCTCCTGTCTGCTTTACTAATCTCCTCTGGACAGCTCTGATCTCACCTTGCCATGGAGCTGTAAGTATGTTAGCGGGGAGCGCACAATGGATGTCAGAGATAGACACAAGCATTAAGGAGTCGGCTGTCAACAGGCTCAAAAGAATTAGTGGGGGCCTGTGTTAGGGGCTGACTGCGATGGGTAAGGGGCAGTTTGGAAAACGGTTCTCTCCACTCGCTATCTTCCAACAGTTATCAGTTGCTTTACAAATCATAGTCATGCCCCACATGAGGATATTTCCATCAACGATGGACCACTTATATAATGGTGGTCCCATAAGATTATAATAGAGCTGAAAAATTCTTATTCCCTGTTCCCACCACGTCATTGTGCAATTACTTTATTTTTCTCATAAATTTAGTGTAGCCTAAGTGTACTGTGTTTATAAAGTCTATACAGTAATATCTTAGGCCTTCACATTCACTCACCCCTCACTCATTGACTCACCCAGACCAACTTTCAGTCCTGCAAACTCTATTCGTGGTAAGCGCCCTATATAAATGTACCATTAAAAAAAAATCTTTTGTACTATATTTTACTGTACCTTTCCCATGTTCAGATATGTTTAGGTACACAAATAATTACCATAATGTTATAATTGCCTACCGTACTCAGTACAGTAACATGCTGTCCAGGCTTGTAGCCTAGGAGCAATAGGCTATACCACATAGCCTAGGTTCATAGTAGGCTACACCATCCTAGGTTTGTGTAAGTGTGATGTTTGCACAACAATGAAATCATCTAACGATGCATTTATCAGACCATATTCCTGTTGTTAAGCAACACATGACTGTAGGAGGTTCATCCTCAAAGACTGAAACTTGAGTACCTGAGCACACCATCCAGGGGGGTGGGTATCACCCAATCTAGCCTACCACTGTTGACACCTGAGCAGTCCTTCTGGTATTTGAGGTTGAACCCCCTGAACCTGTTACTACCACCACAGCTGCCACTCATCTGCATGTGCCACCTGCAGACCTGGGGACTGGCCCATCCAGCCCATTGTAGCCATCATCAAAAACAGCAGGGATCTCTTGGGTCCCAAAGATTGTCCCACCACTGCTACTGTGATTGCCCATGCCACACCTGCTGCCCAGGGGCTCAATAATCCACCTGCCCAGCCCACCACTGTCATTCCTGGCACCTGAGCAAGCCACCTTGAAGGCCAATAATCAGACTTCCTGGACTGGCTAACACATGCCAGCATATACAACCCTGGTGCCCAAGGATAGGCATGCTCAGCCTGCTGCTGCCATCAATGGGCCCTGAAGACTGGCCCACATGGTGTCTCAGTCCCCAGCAGAACTTCACCACTGCCTCCACTAACAACTGCACCCTAAGCCACTGAGGAAATCACAGATACCACTGATGCTGTTTTTAGCCAAAGAAATCATACAGAGACTACACTACTGCACAATCCCAGAATCAAAGCCAAAGTACCATACTCAACCAACTCCACAGATACATCTTCAGGAAAATGTCCTTCCCCAAAAAATCAAATTAAAAAATTGGAAGAAGAGACTGTTATGCTAGATGTGCAGATATCAACATAAGGACACAGGAAACATAAAAAAACAAGGAACTATGACACCTCCAAAGGAACACAAGAATTCTCTAGCAACAGATAACAATCAAAAAGAAATTTATGAAATCTGAAAAGCAATACAAAAAAGTCAGAAAAGCAATTCATGATATGAATGAGAAATTTACCAAAGAGATAGATATTATAAAAAATAACCAAATAGAAATTCTGTACATAAAAAATTAATTAATTTAAATACAAAATACATTCAAGAGCTGCAACAATAGACTAGATCAAGCAGAAGAAAGAATCTTAGAACTAGAAGATAGGTTTTTTGCAAAATCCAGTCAGATAAAAATGAGTACATAAGAATGAGCAAAGCTTAAATTTATATATGGGACACTGTAAAATGACCACATATTTGAATTTTTGGCCCAGAAGACAAAAAGAAAATGAAAGGGTAAGAAAACATATTTAATGAAACAATACATGAAAACTTCCCAAGTTTATTTAAAAATTAGACATCTGGATACAGGAGGCACAAAGATTCTCAAATAAATACAATTCAAAAAAATCTCCTCCATGGCACATTATGGTCAAACTGTCAAGTCGAAGACAAAGTAAATTTTTACAAACAGCAAAAGAAAAGCCCCTAGCAACTTATAAAGGAACCCCCATGAGACTAACAGCAGATATCTCAGCAGAAAACACAGGCAGCAGAGGATGGGATGATATATTAAAAGTGCTGAAAAAAAGAAAAAAACCCTGGCAACCCAGGATACTATACTCAGCAAAGTTATCTTTTATAAGGGAATGATAAATAATTTTTTTATTCTCTAAGCAAAAGCTGAGGAAAATCATTACCACTAGACTGACCTTACCAGAAATACTTAATTGAGTGCTACACTTGGAAGTGAAAGAACAATAACTACCATCATGAAGACATGAAAATATAAAAACCACTGGCACAACAAGCTCATAAACAAGTAAGAGAAAAAACTAAAATATTACCACTACAGAACACTACCAAACCACAATGATAAACAATATGAGAGAAAGAGAGAGGAACAAAAGATATACAAAATAACCAGAAATTACTTAATAAAATGACAGAAATAAGCCCTCACATATCAGCAATAACCATGAATGTAAACTGATTAAACTTTGCACTTAAAAGATATAGACTGATTAAATGGATTAAAAAACATGACCCAACTATATGTTATCTACAAGAAACTCATCTCACCTGTAAAGACACATATGTATTGAAAGTTAAGGGATAGATAATGATATTCCATTCAAATGGAGACTAAAAGTGAGTAGGAGTAACTATATTTTTATCAGATAAAACAGACTTTAAGTCAAAAAGCAGTAAAAAGAGATAAAGAAGGTCATTATATAATGATAAAAGGATGAATTCAGCAAGAGGATATAACAGTTCTAAACATAGATGCACCCAACATCAGAGTGCTGAGATATGTGAAACAAATATTATTAGATCCAAAGAGAGAGATAGACTCTAATGCAATAATAGTTGAGGACTTTACCATCCCACTTTCAGTATTAGGCAGATCATCTAGACAAAAATTCAACAAACTTCAGATTTAAACTGCACGTTAGACCAAATGGATCTAAAAGACATTTACATAACATTTCATTCAATGGCTACAGAATACATATTCTCATCAACACACAAAACATTCTCCAGAATAGACCGTATGTTAGAATACAAAGCAAGTCTTAACAAAATTTTAAAAACTCAAAGTCATACCAAGTATCTTCTGAGACTACAATGGAATAAAACTGAAAATCAATACAAAAGGAACTTTAGAAAAAGTACAAATACATAGAAATTAAACAACATGCTTTTGAATGACCATTGGGTTACGAAGTAAACTAAGGAGGATATATTAGGTGAGTGCAAAAGTAATTGCAATTTTTGCATTGTTGGAATTTGCTATTTGATATTGGAATACATTCTTAAATAAATTTGGTTGTATTATACATCATTTTAATGGGTACTTCTTGCTTTATGTTTTTTTGCTAGTGACTTATTACTTGCTGTTTATTTTATGTTTATTTTAAACCCTGGAAATAATGTTAGGCAAAAAGTAAATTTGAATGATTTTTTTATTCAGTTCAAAATGGGTTGTAAAGCAGTGGCGACAACTCACAACATTAACAACACATTTTGCCCACTATCTGCTAATGAAATACAGTGCAGTAATGGTTCAAGACGTTTTTCAAAGGAGATGAGAGACTTGAAGATGAAAAGCACAGCGGCAGACACTGGAAGTTGACAATGACCAATTGAGAGCAATCGTAGAAGATAATCATCTTACAACTACACGAGAAGTTGCCAAAGAACTCAACATCAACCATTCTATGGTCATTTGGCATTTGAAGCAAATTTGAAAGGTGAGAAAGCTCCATAAATGGTTGCCTCATGAACTGACTGAAGATTTTAAAAATCTTTATTTTGAAGTGCTGTCTTCTCTTGTTCCGTACAACAACAATGAACCATTTCTTGATCGGATTGTGATGTGCGATGAAAAGTGGCTTTTATACGGTAACTGGCTATGACCAACTCAGTGGTTAGACTGAGAAGAAGCTCCAAAACACTTCCCAAAGCCAAATTTGCACCAGAAAAAGTAATGGTCCCTGTTTGGTGGTCTGCTGCCAGTCTGATCCACTACAGCTTTCTGAATCCCAGTGAAACAATTACATCTGAGAAGTATGCTCAGCAAATCAATGAGATGCACTGAAAATTGCAATGCCTGCAGCCTGCATTGGTTAACAGAAATGGCCCAACTCTCCACAACAACACTTGACAGCACGTTGCACAACCAATGCTTCAAAAGTTGAACAAATTAGGCTACAAAGTTTTGCCTCATCTGCCATATTCCCCTGACCTCTCACCAATCAACAACCCCTTCTTCAAGCATCCTAATGACTTTTTGCAAATAAAATGCTTCCACAACCAGCAGAATGCAGAAAATGCTTCCCAAGAGTTCATCGAATCCTGAAGCATGCATTTTTATGCTACAGGAAGGAACAAACTTATTTATTGTTTGCAAAAACGTGTTGATTGTAATGGTTCCTATTTTCTTTAATAAAGATGTGTTTGAGCCTAGTTATAATGATTTAAAATTCACAGTTCGAAACTGCAATTACTTTTGCACCAATGTTGAAAACCTTTTTTGAAACAAATGAAAACCACAACATAGCATATCAAAATGTATGGGATATAGCAAAAATAATCCCAAGAGAGAATTTTATAGCAATAAATGGCAACATAAAAAAAGTGGAAATATTTCAAGTAAATAAACCGTCAACAATGCACCGAAGGGCCTAGCAAAGCAAGAAGATACCAAACCCAAAATTAATAGAAGGAACAACAACAACAAAAAGATCAGAGCAGAACTTGAAGAAATAGAGACTATAAAACAATCTAAACGAAACCATCAACAAAACGAAAAGCTGCCTTCTTAAAAATATAAACAAAGCTGATAAACCACTTGGTAGACTAACCAAAGAGAGAAAAGACCCAAGTAAACAAAATCAGAAATAAAAATGGAGACATTGCAATGATACCACAGAAATACAAATGATGATCAGAGACTGTCACAAACAAATGCATGTGCACAACCTAGAAAACCTAAAGGAAATAGATAAAGTCCTGGACACATACAATCTACCAAGATTGAATTGGGAAGAAATAGGAAATCTGAACAGACCAATAACAAATAATGAGATTGAATCTGTAATAAAAAGTCTCCCCCAAAAGTAAAATGCAGGACCAGATGACTTAGCTGCTAAATCCTACCAAACTTTCAAAGAAGAAATAATACGAATTGTCCTCAAACTATTCTAAAAAATGAAAGAGGACGTAATTCTCCCTTTTACTCATTCTATAAGACCACCATTGCCCTAACACCCAAACCAGACAGGAATGCAATGACAAGAAAAAAACTGCAGGCCATTATCCCTAATGAACATAGATGCAACAATTCTCAAGAATTGAGCACACTGAATCCAACAGCACATCAAAAAATATATATATATATATACATATATATGCCATGATCAAGTGGAATTTTCTCCAGGGTTGCAAGGATGGTTCAACATAGGGAAATAAATGTGATACATCACATCAACAGAATGAAGGACAAAAACCATATGACCCTCTCAAAAGATGTAGAAAAAGTATTTGATAAAATTCAACATCGCTTTGTGATAAAAACCGTAAACAAATGGGGCATAGAAGGTAAATACCTCAAAACAAAAAGGCCATATATGGCAAATCCAAAGCTAACAAAACATCATACTGTATGGCCCACTTTTGTGACTCCTAGTCAACATAGTACTGGAAGTCCTAGCCAGAGCAATCAGGCAAGAGAAAGAAATAAAAGGCAAGGCATCCAAACTGGAAAAGCAATCAAATTGTACCTCTTTGTTGACGATATGATCCTATAGCTAGAAAAAAACTAAAGACTCCACCAAACAACTCTTAGGTCTGATAAATAAATTCAGTAAACTTGCAGGATACAAATCAACATACAAAAATTAGTAGCATTTCTGTACATTCATACTGAACTGAGAAAGGAATGCCGAGGGCAATTGCATTTCCAATAGCTACAAAAATAAAATAAAATGCCTAGGAATAAATTTAACCAAGGGTGTAAAACATCTCTACATGAAAAATAACAAAACGTGAATGAAAGAAATTGTAGAGGACATAAACAAATAAAAAGACATCCCCTGCTCATGTATCAGAAGAATTAATATTATTAAAATGGCCATACTGCCCGAAGCAATCTACAGATTCAGTGGAATTCTTATCAAAATACCAATGTCATTTTTTACATGAAATAGAAAAAATAATCCCAAAATAAGTATGGAATCAAAAAAGTGCTCAAATAGCCAAAGCAATTCTGAACAAGAGAGAACAAAGCTGGAGGCATCACACTATCCAAAATATACTACAAGGCAAAACAGAATGGTATTGGTATGAAAACAGACACACAGATCAATGGACAGAATAGAGAATCTAGAAATAATTCCATGCATCTATAGCTGACTGCTTTTTGATAAAGGTGTCAAGAACATATACTGGGGTAAAGACACACTCTTCAATAATAGCTCTGGAAAAATTGAATGTCCGTATGCAGAAGAATGAGACTGGATCCCTATCTCTCACCATAAACAAAAATCAACTAAAGATGGATTAAAGACTTAGTAAGATCTGAAACTATAAAACTACTAGAAGAGAACATAGAGAAAACAATTCAGGACAATGGTTTAGACAAAGATTTTATGACTAAGACCTTGAAAGCACAGACAATGAAAACAAAAATAGGCAAATGGAAGTCTGTTAAATTAGAAGTCTTCTTTGCAACAAAGAAAACAATCAGTAGAATGATGAAAAACTTGTTGAATGGGAGAAAATATCTGCAAATCATTCACCTAACAAGAGACTAATATCCAGAATACCACTCAATAGTATAGAAACAAGTAATTCCATTAAAAAGTGGGCAAAGGACATTAATAGACATTTTTCAAAAGAAGACATACAAATGGCTAACATGTATATGAAATAATTCTCAACATAATTATCAGGGAAATGCAAATCAAAACCACAATGAGATATCATCTTACTCTGGTTAGAATGGCTATTACTAATAAGAAAAAAAATTACAGATTTTGATGAGGATACAGAGAAAAGGGATCTCCTATGCACTGTTGATGGGAATATAAATTAGTACAACCATTATGGAAAACAAAATAGAGATTTCTCAAAAACTAAAAATAGAACTACCAAATGATGCAGCAATACCACTACTGGGATTTCCAAAGGAAAATAAATCAGCATATCAAAGGGATATCTGCACTTGCATGTTTATTGTAGGACTATTCACAATAGCAAAAATATGAATCAAACTGAATGTTCATCAATGGATGAATTACTAAAGAAAATTTGACATATATACACAATGAAATATTATTTGGGCATAAAAAAGAATGAAATCCTGTCATTTACAGGAACTGGAGGTTATTGTGGTAAGTGGAATAAGCCAGACATAGAAAGACAAATTTCACACGTTATCACTCACATGTGGGAGCTAGAAAACTTGATCTCATGAAGGTAGAGAATAGAATGATAAATATCAGAAGCTGCAAATGGTGTGTGGGTGAGCGGGGGAATGAAGAGAGGTTGGCCAATAGGCACAAACATACAGACAGATAGAAGGTATAAGTTCTAATGTTTGATAGCAGAATAGGGTGTCTATAGTTAACAACAATGCATTGTATAGTTCAAGTAGCTCTTAGAAGAGAGAACTTGATATGTTCCCAACATCTAGAAATTATAATCAATGTAATACATACCATAATACCCTGACCTGATCATTATGCATGCATTCTATCTAACAAAATATCACATGTACCCCATAAATATTTAAAATACTATGTAGCAATAAACATTTTTTTAAATAAAAAAGATTAAATATTGTTTTAGAGATTGCACAAAAGCACAGCTTCTAGACTACAGCTCTGTGGCTTCTCAGACCACCATTCTCATTAAGATACAGAGGGTCAACCAGGCACAGTGGCTCACGCTTGTAATCCCAGCACTTCGGGAGGCTGAGGCAGGTGGATCTCTTGAGGTCAATAAGATCGAGACCATCCTGGCCAACATGGAGAAAACCCATCCACACTAAAAATACAAAAATCAGCTGGGGGTGGTGGTGCGTGCCTGTATCTCAGCTACTTGGGGGGCTGAGGCAGGAGAATTGCTTGAATCCGGGAGGTGGAGGTTGCAGTGAGCCAAGATCGTGCCACTGGACTCCAGCCTGGTGACAGTGAGACTCTGTGTCGAAAAAAAAAAAAAAAAAAAAGATACAGAGGGTCTTAACGACGACCTCAAATGCAAAGATGGCTTCTGCCTACTGATTTCATCACATTGACACTTTGCCTGTATGTACCGACTAGTTGGTAGCTTAAATGTTTCTTTGCTATGCAAATCTGATCAGGCCAGAAGGAGGCTACAGCTGATCAAAATGTTGAAAGTTTATCAAAGCTGAAATGTACAAGACAGTAGTGACACTGAGCTCTCCAATTATTTTTAAGAATGGGGCACCAAAATGTTCATTGGTAGCTGTTGGTGTTTGTATGGGGAGCATAAGGCTTATCAACTTGGGTTGCTCTTAGAGTGCAACTCTTGTTGAGTTTTATGTTGCAGGAACCCTTCATGTCAGTGCCTCTAGGTTTATTCTTGGACTGGTCAGCTTCCCCAAAGGAGGCTCTTCCAAACTCCTGCTAAGCTTTGTAAGTGTGGCTTCCCTTTCTGAGGCTAAGTGAGAGAAGAGAGCTGAATGGTGGTAGGGTTAGGGGTGGGGGTTCAACTTTTTCTTCTTCTCAGCTATACTTCTCTTCATATGCCAAGAGAGCCTCTGTTTTGCAATCAACAGAGAATAAGTCTTTATTCTTCTGCCGAAGTGAAGGAAGAAATCTAGGGTTTTACAGCATCAAATATAATTTTAATTGATTCTCCTGTTTTTAACTTCACCTGTATCTCCACTTTTAGATGTATATAGAGCCACAAATTCCAGAACCTTTTGAGATTTCTTCTGTTTCTGGAAGCTTTCTCCAACACTGGCTTAGGATACAGCTTTCTGGACTCAGCCAAGCCACTAATCCACGGTCCTACTGCTCCATAGCTGTCAAAATTTTGTTGCAATTGTCCTTTTCACCGATTGTTCTTGTTCTTGTAAAAAAATCAGTTTATTGACACATTACTGGAGTTTCTGGAAGGAGCTGAAGGTAGTGTATATGCTCAGTCTACCATCTTGAATGGAAGTGTTAGAATTATTTCTTTGTCTCTTCAGCATTGTATGAATCTCTAGTCATAACACTGATAACTCAAACCTAGAGCAAACCAAAGTAGTTTGCATAATCTTCAGAATCTCTTTTGACTTTTATTCTCCTCTTTTTCTCAGTGATCACTCTCTGTCCTGAATAATTAGTTGACTCATCAAACCATATCTAGGTTTGTGGGTCACAAAACTAGATACTCATGGATCCAGAAAAAGGAAGTGAGGACAAGCATTCCAAGTAGGAAGGTGGGGTTGACACAAACAGAGGCAGGGGCAAACATTGCATGTTTGGTGAACACAGTGATCAACGTGACAGGAATATGGGTATGTGTATCAGCCGGATGAGATGTGTCTGGATAAGGAAGTCACAGCTTGCCACACATTCTTTTCACTCTCCACCTCTCCACTTCAACAGGGCTGCCCCACTTGTAGGCTTCTAACAAGGTCAGTCTATTTTACGGTTTTGTATTTTCCTCCTCCCATTCCTTTTGCTTGGAATGCAAAGTCTCTGCTTTGTATATTTGGAAAACTCTGCTTTTTAAAGATTCAGCTCAAAAAGTATCTACTCCATGAAGAGTTTTATATACCTTGCATCTTATTCCCTTATTTGGGACACTGTCTGGTCTCTTTGCAATCTCATGGTTACCTACACAGCCTCCTATTAATGAGATAAATAATATTAGATGTTTTTCTGAAGGGCAAGGATGGTGTGTTATTCCTCTGATATTCCCAAGCACCTAGCACATGGTGGGTAGTCAGTAACTTGTGTTAACTTAGAGAATAATTTATGTTAAATGGGTTATTTGTTTGCTCATTTATTCCTTTAGTTTTTGATTCATTGAGGCATTTGATATTGATTGAGGCTGTCAATGATCAGGCCAATTTAGTAAAAACTGTTACTCAGTGGGGCAAAAGTTCTCTGAGCCCAGTGGTTAAAAAAGGTATTCTGGGGAAAGAAGACTTAGGTCATGAAGAACGAGAAAGTTGTAAACAACTCAAGGAGAGCCTATCTTCATATTCTCCCCTTAAGAGACTCATAGTCTTAGAGAAAAATAAGATGTAAGTCCCATGACTCTGAAAATTGAGTAAAGTAAAATGTGATGTGTAGTTTAAGAGGAGTTTAAATTACTATGGGAATACAAAAAGTAGGGAGGCCCCACACGCGGGGATTTCTAGGGATTTAATGAAAGAAAGACTAAATGGGTGTTATCTCCCTCCATCCATGTCAATCTGCAAAACATACACTCAACTTGCTCTGTATGAGGCTCTGTGCTCATTGCTAGCATGACAGACAAGAGCAAGACACTGTTTCTTCCTTAAGTTGTTGCCAGGAAATAAATACCTTTTACAAATGCTCCCAAGATGGATGTGGACATGGATGTGGACAAATTAGAACCTTTGTGCCTTGCTGGCAGGAATGTGAAATGGTGCAGCACTGTGGAAAATAGTCTAGCAGTTCCTCAAAAATTAGCATAGAATTACCACATGATTCAGAGGTCCCACTTCTACATATATACCTCTAAAGAACTGAAAGAAGGTAGCAGAACAGATACTTTTACACCCATGTGCATAGCAGGATTATTTACAATAGACAAAAAGTGAAAATAACTCATATGTCTATCAAAATAAAAGGATTAAAAAATGTGGTATATATATGCCATGGAATATTTTTCAGCCTTAAGAAAGAACAAAATTCTGATACATGCTACAGCTTCTATCAGCCTTAAGAACATTATGCTAAATGAGTGAAGTAAGCCAAACACATAAGGGCAAACATTGCATGATAATTTTTTTTTTTTTTTTTTTTTTTGTGTCAGAGTCTCGCGCTGTCTCCTAGGCTGGAACATAATAGCACGATCTCTGCTCACTGCAACCTTCGCCTCCCTGGCTCAAGTGATTCTCCTGCCTCAACCTCTCAAGTAGCTGGGATTACAGGTGCCCGCCACCATGCCTGGCTAATTTTTGTATTTTTAGTAGAGACAGGGTTTTACCATATTGGCCAGGTGGGTCTTGAACTCCTGACTTCAAGTGATCCACCTGCCTAGGCCTGCCAAAGTGCTGGGATTACAGGCATGAGCTACTGTACCTGGCGTGTATGATTCTTCTTATAAGAGATATCCAGAATAGTCAAGTTCATGTAGAAGGAAAGTAAACTAGGGCTTACCAGAAGCTGGGAGGAGGGGGTAATGAGTGTTTAATGGGTCCAGAATGTCAATTTGGGATAAAAAAATTCTGAAGATAGATGGTTGGGATGGTTGCATAACAATATGAACGTGCTTAATGCCATTGAACTGTACACTTAAAACTGGTTAAAATGGTAAATTTAGGAGGGCAGATCATTTGAGCCCAGGAGTTTGAGACTAACTGGTCAACATAGTGAAACCCCATCTGCAAGAAATACAAAAATTAGCCGGGCATGGTGGCAGATGCCCATAGTCCCAGCTACTCAGAAGGGTAAGATGGGAGGATCACCTGAGTCCAGGGAGGTCGAGGCTGCAGTGAGCTGAGATCACACCACTGCACTCCAGCCTGAGCAAGAGAGTGAGACCCTGTGTCAAAATAAATAAATAAATAAATAAATAAAATGATAAATTTTATGTTATGTATATTTTACTACAGTAAAAAAAGAAAAGGCAGAGGGGTTGCTGTAGGGAGAGTTCTAAGACCAAAAGACCAAATCTTAGTCTGAAGATGTAGTATTGTTTCTGTAGCTTTCAGGACTAAGACAGACAGGGCAGGGGCATGGGATGTGGGTTTGAGGCAAACAGTCAAACTCGAAGGAACCTTGATCTCTACCTGTGTACCAGGGCTCACTTAGCCTGTGGCCAACCCAAGGTTGTATTTCCTGGATCAGGTGGCTATGGCCTTAATGATTCTCAAAGCTTTTATAAATATCTTCATGAAACCCCTGCTGACAAAGTGAGAAATCTGGAACAATTGTGCAAAGTTTGTTTTTAATAATTGGAAAATGATATCTAAAAAGAATATATGATTTAGGCTGAAAAAGCAGAAATTTGATTCATTTTTTTCCACCAAGAAACTATGTGCAATCCTCTGTTAACACCAGAGCATCACAGGGAAATAGACTTTTGGGGAACAGATTCAACTGCCTTGAGTCCAGAGTGAGATCAACAAGACAGAAAATAGAGCAGGGTAGGAGGAGAGATCCTCCTCAGTTAGTGGTGTCTTTGTCATTTATATTCCTAGAAAGAAAGACAAATGGCTTCAGACTCTTGAGGCCATCTGGTAGTCTTTAGCATCTACTAGGGGGATCTTGTTAACATTCTGAAACTTGGGCCCCTATAGACCTCCCAACTCTTCAGTAGCAGGACCTGAGATGCTCTCAGGGTCTCTCAAATTTTACCTTTCTTTAAAATCGCCTATAAAACTACAGATGGCTGGACCCAACCCCAGCGTTTCTGATTCAGTGAGTCTGAGTTGTCATCTGAGAATCTGCATTCATAACAAGCTCCCAGGTGTTGCTGATACTGCTGGTCCAGGGATCACCCCTTTGAGAACCACAGTTTTGCATTGACAGCCCTCCTCAGACATCTCTGATAATCAGTCAGATTTTGTAAACCCTTTGAGAAACAGCCATCTGTGGGAACCACCAATAGCTTTTGTCTTTCTTTGGATTTAGTTTTCAAAATCATACCTCTGGAGGTAGGGAAGGAAATGCAAGCTATAATAAAAGTGAGGAAATAAAATGATCAATTCATGGGAGGTTTTCCTAGTCTGGCCCCTTTTCTAATCCGCACATTCATTGCATATGGTGTCTTCTACACCAAGGCAAGATATGATTTGGGTCTGTGTTTCCACCCAAATCTCATGTCGAATAGTAATTCCCAATGTTGGGGGAGGGGCATGATGGGAGGTGATTGGATCATGGGGGCAGATTTTCCCCTTGCTGTTCTCATGACGATGAGTGAGTTCTCATGAGATCTGGTTGTTTAAAATGTGTAGTACCTTCTGTCTTGCTCTGTGTCTCCTGCTCTGCTATGGTAAGACATGCTTGGTTCCCCTTCACCCTTCTGCCATGATTGTAAGTTTCCTGAGACCTTTCAGTCATGCTTCCAGTGAGAATGGACTATATAGAATATTGGTACTAGAGAAGCAGGGCATTGCTATAAAGATACCTGAAAATATGAAAGTGGTTTTGGAACTGGGTAATGGGCAGAGGTTGGAACAGTTTGGAGGGCTCAGAAAAAAGACAGGAAGATGAGGGAAACTTTGGAACTTCCTAGAGACTTGTCAAATGGTTGTGATCAAAATGCTCATAGTGATATAGACAGTGAAGTCCAGCATGAGATGGTCTCAAATGGAGATGAGAAACTTACTGGGAATTGGAGTAAAGGGGTCACTCTTGCTATGCTTTAGCAAAGAGACTGGTGGTGTTGTGCCCTGCTCTAGAGATCTATGGAACTTTAAACATGAGAGAGATAATTTAGGGTATTTGGCAGAATAAATCTCTAAGCAGCAAAGTGTTCAAGATGTGGCCTGGCTGCATCTAAAAGCCTAAGCTCATTTGCGTAAACAAATGAATTACCTGAAACTAGAACTTATATTTGGAAAATTTGCAGCCTGACCATGTGATAAGAAAAACAACAACAACAACAACAACAAAAATGTTCTCAGGAGGAATTCAAGGCTGCAGACATTTGCATTAATAAAGAGGAGCCAAATGTTCATAGCCAAGACAATAGGGAAAATGCCTCTAGGGCATTTCAGGGACCTTGGAGGCAGCCCCTCCCATCACAGGCCTGGAGGCCTAGGAGGGGAAAATGACCTCATGGGCCAGGCCCAAAGTCCTGCTGCCCTGTGCAGCCTCTGGACATGGTGCCCTGCATTCCAGCCACTCCACTTCCAGCTGTGGCTAAAAGGGGCCAAGATACAGCTCAGTTCACTGCTTCAGAGGCTGTAAGCTCCAAGCCTTGGTGGCTTTTATGTAGTGTTGGGCCTGTGGGTATGCAGAAGGCATGAGTTGAGGTTTGGGAGCCTCTGCCTAGATTTCAGAGAATGTATGGTAATGCCTAAATGTCCAGGCAGAAGTCTGCTGCAGGGGCAGAGACCTCAAGAACATCTACTAGAGCAATGTGGAGGGGAAATGTGGGGTTGGAGCCCCCACACAGAGTCCCACTGGGGCACTGCCTAGTATTGCTGTGAGAAGAGAGCCACTGTCCTCCAGACCCCAGAATGGCAGATCCATTGACAGCTTGCACCATGCACCTGGAAAAGCTACAGGCACTCAATGTCAGCCCATGAAAGCAGCTGCAGGGGTTTACCCTGCAGAGCCACAGGGGTGGAGCAGCTCAAGGCATTGGGAACCCACCGCTTGCATCGGTGTGGCCTGGATGCATGACATGGAGTTAAAGGAAATTATTTTTTAACTTTAAGATTTAATGACTGCCCTGCTGGTTTTTGGACTTGTATGGAGCCTGTAGTCCCTTTGTTTTAGCCAGTTGCTCCCTTTTGGAATGGGGGCATTTACCCAATGCCTGTGCCCTCATTGTGTCTTGGCAGTAACTAACTTTTTTGTGATTTTACAAACTCATAGGCAGAAGGAACTTACCTTGTCTCAGATGAGACTTTGGACTTGGACTTTTGAGTTAATGCTGGAATGAGTTAAGACTTTGAGGGTCTGTTGGAAAGGCATGATTATATTTTGAAATGTGAGAAGAACATGAGATTTGGGAGGGGCCAGAGCCTGAGTAATATGGCTTGCCTTTGTGTCCCCACCCAAATCTCATGTCAAATTGTAATTCCCAATGATGGGGGAGGAACCTGGTGTGAGATGATTGGATCATGGGGGCAGATTTCCCTCTTGCTGTTCTCATGATAGCAAGTGAGTTTTCATAAGATTTGTTTTTTTTTAAAGTGCATAGCACTTCCCCCTTTGCTCTCTTTCTTGTGCTCCACCATGGTAGGACATCCTTTCACCCTTCTGCCACGACTGTAAGTTTCCTGATGACTTTTGAACAGTCTGCAGAACTGTGAGTCAATTAAACCATTTTTCTCCATAAATTACCCAGCCTCAGGTAGTCTTTATAGCAATGTGGGAACAAACTAATACACATGGAAATCACTGACTGAAAGGGGAACAACTGATAAGTCAGACCATGACCATCAATTTTGTTCTTGAGTGAAATCTAGCCAGTTTAACTCATTTGCCATTTTCGTTAAGTTGTGACTGCTGGGGAAACTGAGTCCTCCATCCATGGAATGAACCACTTGAAACAAAACCAGTGACCAACACAGGTGCAATTGACATGCAGAGATGTTTAACTGACTTGATGAAGGGGAATGATAAGAAGTTCCTAGGTCAAGAGAAGGGCTGGAAAGTGACCCCTAGGCCTGGAAAATAATAGGATCAATGTGAAGTTCAGATCTGGGAATGAATGGGGCTCTGTCATCTTGTGAAGTCTGAGGAGCTGATGTTACTGTTGCTTTGGCCAGACGAATGGCTCACTATCTAGTTGAAAATGCTTCCACAAGAACTGGATGGGGACACAAGCAAATAACCATGGCACTCCATCCTGACCCTGGGACCAAGGAAGTCTCTAAAGAAAAATTGCAACAGGATTAGTACTACTAACATGGCCTCGTATTTCTACAATGGTCTACCCTTTATTTTATTGTTTTATTTTATTGGACCTCAGGTTGCATAGACTTGGATTAATTATAATCGTGATATACACTAATTATTGGTCAATTATTGGTGACTTTTATTTACTTAACCTTAATTATTATTTTCTTTTTTTCTTTTTCTTTTTTTTTGAGATGGAGTCTTGCTCTGTTGCCCAGGCTGGAGTGCAGTGGCACTATCTCGGCTCACTGCAAGCTCCGCCTCCTGGGCTCACGCCATTCTCCTGCTTCAGCCTCCTGAGTAGCTGGGACTAGAGGTGCCCACCACCACACCCAGCTAATTTTTTGTATTTTTAGTAGAGACGGGGTTTCACAATGTTAGCCAGGATGGTCTCGATCTCCTGACCTCGTGATCCACCCACCTTGGCCTCCCAAAATGCTGGGATTACAGGCGTAAGCCACCACACCCAGCCTAATTATTTTTAATAATGCAGCAAGTATTCTTGAAAACACCATCTAAAACAAAAGCTAAGACCTTGACTATAACCAACCCATCCTTCTGCCTCCTTGTTCCCTCTCACAAGGCAATCAATGTCTGAGATCCTGTGTTAGTTCACTTGCTTCCTTTATTATAAAGTGTTATTGCCTCTTTATGTAACACCATTGTGTATACAGATTATATATGATGTGCACATTATATATAATTGTGTGTAAATGCAAACATATTCACTTTAGTTGTTTTTATTTTTACCAAAAGGATGTTATACTGTATGTAATCCTTTGAGATTTACTTCTTTTACTTAACTTTACATTTTCAAGATTAATACATATTGTTACACTTCTCTGTGTTTCTTTTATAACTGTTGTATAATATACAAGTGTGAGAATATATCACACTGCATTTACTCTCCCTTTGACAGGCATTTGGGTTGCTTCTAATTGTTTTTGCCATGAGAACATTGCTGTAATGGATACTTTGGTACATGTATCCTATATCCTCCAATAGTTTCTCTTTTCCATTCTAGTAGGACATGGTGCCTCTGTGACATCATAAAGTTATTTACATGCATTTGTTTGTTTCTGAGCTCTCTATTCTATTCCATTGGTCAATGTGGCTGTCCTTCCATCAATACCAGACTGATCCAATTATTACAGCTTCATAGTAAGGTGGTGTTTGGTAAGGCAAGTTCCTTATTCTTGTTTTTTTTCAGAAGTATCCTTGTTAGACTACTTTTAGCACTTAACTCCTTCATATATATTTTATAATCATCTCATTAAAATTCATTTAACAATACCCTAGGTGGAATTTTTATTTAAATTCCATTGAATCAATTTGAATCAATAGATTGATTGGGGAGAACTGATAGCATATAAATAGTCTACTCACAAATATATTTCTCTATATATATCTTCTTTAATATCTCAGTAAACTAAAAAAAATTATAGAGGTCTGAAACATCTTCTGACAGTTGTAATTTATTGTCTTTTCTTTGTGTTTTCTATGTTTCAGGTTGTGTTTAGAACAGCAGTTGACATTTTTATATTGCTCTTGTACCCAGTTATCTTGCCAAACTCTCCTATTATTTTTTTTCTTTTCTTTCTTTATTTTTGAGACAGAGTCTCTCTCTTTGTTGTCCAGGCTGGAGTGCAGTGGCATGATCTTGGCTCACTGCAACCTCCACCTGCAGGGTTCAAGCGATTCTCCTGTCTCAGCCTCCCAAGTAGCTGGGATTACAGGTGCCCACCACCACGCCCAGCTACTTTTCGTATTTTTAGTAGAGATGGGGGTTTCACCATGTTGGCCAGGCTGGTCTCGAACTCCTGACTTCAGGTGACCCACCCACCTTGACCTCCCAAAGTGCTGGGATTACAGGTGTGAGCCACTGCACCCAGCAAACTCTCCTGTTATTCTAATCATGTACAGGTAGTTCCTTTTGGTTTTGTAAGTAAAAAAGCATTATCATCTGCAAGTATTGACAGCTTTTTATCAACTTAAAAAGTTTTTATGCACCTTTTTATTTTTTCTGGTTTTATTGCCCTAGCAAAACTCTTCAATACATTGTTGCCTAAATGTGGCAATAGAATAATTTTTTTTTTCCATTTCTAACTTGGAAGAGGATTCTTCCAACAATTTTTCATTTAGGGTAAGTTTTGCTTTAAATATTTAATGTACATTGTTTATTGTGTTTATTTATTTCAAATTTTCTAAGAGTCTTATTAAGAACAGGTGTTGAGGCCAGGCGCAGTGGCTCAGGTCTGTAATCCCAGCACTTTGGGAGGCCGAGGCGGGAAGATCACAAGGTCAGCTGTTTGAGACCAGCATGGCCAACGTGGTGAAACCCGATCTCTACTAAAAGTACAAAAATTAGCTGGGCATGGTGGCGGGCACCTGTAATCTCATCTACTCGGGAGGGTGAGACAGAAGAATTGCTTGAACCTGGGAGGTGGAGGTTGCAGTGAGCCAAGATCACAGCACTGCACTCCAGCCTGGGTGACACAGCAAGACTCCATCTCAAAAAAAAAAAAAAAAAAAAAAAAAACAATGAATGTGAATTTTACCAAATGTTTGTAAAATGAATGGTTGTTTTAGGGATTAAGGTTATACTAGCTTCATTGAAGAAATTGGGTCATTCTCTCTTTTTCTGCTGTCTAAAGGAGAATATATTTGTTTAAAGTTTGGTAGAACTTGAATGTAAAATCATCTGGTTCTGGTGTTTTCTTTGTGGGAAGATTTTAATTGCTGCATTAGTTTATCAATAATTATAAGACTATCCAATTTATTTTTTCTTGAGTTCTGTTTATACTTTTCAAAAATATTTGTCCATTTTACCTAAGTTTTCAAAGTTGCAGGCAAATAGTTGCTATATTAGTTTTTTGTCCCTTCTAATGTCTTATTTATCTGTCTTTATGGCCCAAATTATACCCCACTTTTCATTATTAATTTTTGCCTTTTATCTTCTTCTCTTGATCGATCTTGTCATGTTTGTTTTTTTCCAACTTTTGACTTTTTGATATTTTTAATTATATCTTTGTATTTATTGTGTTGATCTCTGCTCTTAATTTTATTATTTTCTGCTTCTGCTCTCCATGGTTTTATTATCTCATTCTTATTTCTTAAGAGGGACACTTAACTCCTTAATTTTAAGACCTTCTCCCTTTCTAATATTATTTATGGCTTGTATTAAAAAATATGATATCTCACACAAGTTTTGATATATTTTGTTTTCCTTATTGTTGGGTACTAAATATTTAAAAAATTAATTATGATTTATTCAGTAACACATACTTTTTTAGTGTTTATATTAAAATTTTAAAATGGAAACTTAAAATATTTTGTAAACATAATTTTATTATGTTGTGTTCAAAGGTTATGGCCTGTATAATTCTTTTTGAAATTTAATTTATTAAGGCTTTCTTTTGCTAATACCTAATCAGTTCTCTCTCTTTCTCTCTCTCCTTTCTCTCTCTCTCTTTTTTTTTTTTTAGAGATAGGGTCTTGCTTTGTCACCCAGGATGGAGTACAGTGGCATGATCATAGCTCATGGCAGCCTTGATCTCTTGGGCTCAAGTAATCCTCCTGCCTCAGTCTCCTGAGTAGCTGGGACTACAAGTGCATGCCACCATGTGTGGCTAATATTTATTTATTTATTTTTTTGTAGAGATGAGGTCTCACTCTGTTGCCCAGGCTGGTCTTGAACTCCTGGCCTCAAGAGATCCTCCCACCTTGGTCCCCTAAAATGCTGAGATTACAGGTATGAGCCACTGTGCCCAACTACCTGCTCAGTTTTTCTAAATGACCCATACTATAGTTGAAAAAAGTAGATATTCTCTAACTATTGGAAGGAGACTTTATAATTGCTCATTAGTCAAGATTCTTAATTAATTCTCTATAATACTATGATTTTGCAGAAATATCTGTAATAAGCCACAAAGGAAGCTAGACCCATTTTTAGAGCCAGAGCAATTACCATCTGCCTCCCAATTTTATGGGCTGGCCATCATAATCTTGGCTTTCTTGTTCCAGAGTCTGTCAAACAAGGTCTCACTACAATGACTATACAACTGAGATATTTTGCAGTTCTTTTATATCCTTCCTAATTTTTTTCAGCTTGTACGATCAATAATCAAGAGAGATGTGTTGAAATCTTAAAATGTAATAGGAAATTTGTTCACTTCTCTTTGTATATTTTGCTTCACTTGTATTGAGACATTTTTATTAAGTTCAAAATATTTAAAAGTTGCTGTAGCTTCTAAATTCATTAAAATGTCTATTCTAGTCATGCAAGGATGGCTCAATCATTAGAAAATAACTCACTACATTCTTAATAATGCTTTATATTTCAAAATTAGTTTTACTTGTTTAATGTAGGTTTTAAAGAGCTTAGTTAAAATAGTTAAAGCAGGTTTCTTTTAGTTAGCATTTGTCTTGTATTTACTTTATCTTTTTAATTTTAATCTTTTCAAAATTTTTATTTATTTATTTATTTATTTTTGAGATGGAGTCTCGTTCTGTTGCCCAGGCTGGAGTGCAGTGGTGCAACCTCGGCTCACTGCAACCTCTGCCTCCTGGGTTCAAGAGATTCTCCTGCCTCAGCCTCCCGAGTAGCCGGGATTACAGGTACCCCCTACCATGCCCAGCTAACTTTTGTATTTTTAGTAGAGACTGGGTTTCACCATGTTGGCCAGTCTGATCTCGAACTCCTAACTTCAGGTGATCTGCCTGCCTCCACCTCCCAAAGTGCTGGGATTACAGGTGTGAGTCACCACTCCCAGCCTAATTTTAATCTTATGTTTTATGTGTGTCTCTGGTAAACATCACGGATTTATAAAATCAATCTAATTTTTTCTTTCCTTTGGTGAATTCATTAATTTAATTTTATGTAAATTATTGATAAATTTGGGCTTGTTTCTGCCATTTTACTATATTTATTTCAGTGTGTCCCACCTTTTATGATTAAAAAATCCTTTTTTAAGACTTAAGATTGGGTACAGTGCACACTGTTCGAGTGATGGGTGCACCAAAATCTCAGAAATCACTACTAAAGAACTTATTCATGTCAGTGAACACCAGCTATTCCCCAAAAATCTATTGAAATTTAAAAAATCCTTTTTATATGTTTAAATATATATATTACATATATATTATATATATATGTAATATATATATATTTAAAGTTCTTATTTTACTAAGCCTATCAAGATCCCTGGAGTTCCCCATTCACAACCACCATATTGATAGTGTCTACATTTAACTCTGGATAAACTATGGATTATTATATTTATATTTCTCTTTTCCTTTAATCTTAAGTTATTTTCCAGATAATTACAAATTTTACCAAAATATTTGATCCCTTTTCAATGTGTGCTTGTGCCCTTGTGAAGAAAAACTTTTGAAATTTTTTATGCCAGGTAATATTTTTATCATGACTTCATGTATGAATGACAGTTTGGCTTGAAATTAAATTTTGGATTCTAAGTTCTTTTTCTTCAGTACTCTAAAAATATTACTTCGTTATCTTCTTGCATCAGTATTGCTGCTGAAAAAAACCACATGTCATCTTATTCTTGTTCCTTCATAAATAATTTGTAGGCCAGTGCGGTTACTCACGCCCAGCACTTTGGGAGTAATTCCAGCACTTTGGGAGGCCGAAGCGGGCAGACCACGAGGTCAGGAGATTGAGATCATCCTGGCTAACATGGTGAAACCCCGTCTCTACTAAAAATACAAAAAAAAAAAAAAAAAAAAATTAGCCAGGCATTGTGGCAGGCACCTATAGTCCCAGCTACTCGGGAGGCTGAGGCAGGAGAATGGCATGAACCTGGGAGGCAGAGCTTGCACTGAGCCGAGATTGCACCACTGCACTCCAGCCTGGGCAACAGAGCAAGACTCCATCTCAAAATAAATAAATAAATAAATAAATAAATAAATAAATAAATAAATAAATAATTAATTTGTACTTTTCCTTTGACACTTTTATAATTTTCTCTTGATATTGTTAATTTCATTATAATACATCCTGTTCTAGTTTTCACCACTCATCTCTCTTCTTTCATTCTGAAGTCTTTCAGCTTTTTCTAATTCTGGCAAATGTATCTCTATTACTTACTTAAATATTTCTTTTTGGTGGCTTTAGTCTCCATTGGGCAAAACACACTTTTCTTTCTTTCTTTCTTTTTTTAAAGATGAAGTTTTGCTCTTGTTGCCAGGCTGGAGTGCGATGGCACAATCTTGGCTCACTGCAACCTCCGCCTCCCAGGTTCAAGTGATTCTCCTGCCTCAGCCTCCTGAGTAGCTGGGATTACAGGCGTGTGCCACCACACCTAGCTGATTTTGTATTTTTAGTAGAGATGGTATTTCTCTATGTTGGTCAGGCTAGTCTCGAACTTCTGACCTCAGGTGATCTACCCTCCTTGGCCTCCCAAAGTGCTGGGATTACAGGCGTGAGCCACTGCGCCTGGCCAGGCAAAACACACTTTTATAGGTGTAATCAAGAAAATGGAGATGAGCTTACTGACAGTAATTCTGTGTGGCCCCTGTGCCAATAAGCGTATGGCCCAGATAATTGAGACCTTTTCTTCTCCCATTTTGCAAACATCTATTGGGATATGAATGCCTCCACCTCTTAATGGTCATACTTAAGCTTCTTAAATTCATTTCTATCTTTTAAATTTTTCTGTCTCAGTCCTCATGGTAAGATTTTCAGTTATCAACTCTTGCTTCTAGTGTTTTCTTTTAGTTAGTTTGTTAGATCTGTTTAGTAAATGTATACAGAAAGAATATATCAACAGGCTTCATATAGAAGACTGGAATATGTCCAGTTAATTATGACCATGAGTTTAATGACATTTTTTGCATGCTCAGATATTTTCTTGCTTTTTCAAGGTATAAGAAAGAACTTAATTAGTGTATTTTGGTAATGAAAAATAAAAATTTTAAACCTCTTCAGTTTATGTACAGAGATCATCATCAGTGTGGGTCTCTGGGAAGTCACAGAATGCTGATACACCCTTGGCCTGGCAGTGAGAAAGCAGAGGACAGCGGGGATGGGGAGTGCTAGTTACCATGTGACCCATAGGGCTTTTCTAATGTTGAGTCTATATCTCTCAATTGAGACCAATTTGATTTCCAATTCTGGCTCCCCCATTATCTCATTTTGTGAGTTTGTACAAATGAATTATCATCACTGGGTCTCTGCTTCCCTATCCATATAGGAAGTCTATTTGGAAAATCTCCATAGTGTCTTCCAGCTCTGGAAAACAAATTTTTCTGGTTGGAATGAAGTTGAACCTCTATGTTTTTGTAGAAATATTTGTGAAAAACTGCAAAGAAAGCTAGACTCATTCTTAGAGCTACAGCAATGACCATCTGCTTGCCAATATTATGGGCTGGTCATCATCACCTTGGCTTTTCTTGTTGCAGTGGCTGTCAAGCAAGGTCTTACCACAATGACTATACAATTGAATCTTTAGAATCAGATCTAAAACACATAATGACAGATCTGATTGACTGCTGATTTGACACAAACTACAACAATTACTATACATCATACCAGTGTTTGCCAAACCAGGAAATATACAAAACTGGTAAAATATACAAACATTTTAGTGCATATTGTTAAAAATTTACAGGCTTATTCTAAAGTAGCAAAACTTTTAAAAAATGATTTCATTTATTTACTTTATTCCAGAAATAAAAAAACATATCGAATATGCTGAGTTTTTCACTGAGTTAGTTTTCATAATACCTTTTATGTAAACTTTTTGCATCATAAAGATTATTAGTGATTTGTAGATAATTATGGAAAATACTGCTCAATGCTGTCCAGTAAAGTCTGCATATTTTCTAGGTAAAAACTTCCTATGGTCATACTTCAGTATAAGTAAAATTCCTTAAATTCCTATATGAAAATTCCTGGTGTGTTGTGGGTCTTGGCTGAATGAAAACTGGCTATTCATGCAATACAACATGTTAAAAACAACATAAAATTAATTCCTCCTGGTTTAATAAATGACTTTTGAATTTCAGTAAAAGAAAATAAAAATGTTAAAACCTTTCAACTTAAACATAGAGATTGTCACAAATGTGGATCTTTGAGAAGGAATGGGATATTGACAGAAGGGAAAGAAAGGTATTTCTTGAAGCTTAGAAAGAATGACCGATGTGGAAGAAGAAAAGGTATCAGGGACACTAAACTAACAAACCACAATACATTTGTCTGTTACCCTGTAAAATTGCCAGTCAGCATGGTTTGGAATGTCCAGCTTGGTGGCATATTGACAAGGAGGTCCATACTTTGTAGAAAAAAGGACCAAGGCCCATGTTGCATAGTCACTGATGTGCGCTCAGCAGCGTTTGTGATTCACAAACGAGAGGATGCTTGAAGGCTTAGACTAGCTCTAGGAAGGCAGTTGTCACTATAGGGTACACATAATTGTGTGAATGGCTTTGGCATTTTTGTTTCCGCCTATTTGACCTCATGTAGATCTATAAGTCACGAGCTGTCTTCAGTGCTTCTCAAAGGAAACACTATTGGTATTTCATAAATGCAATTCTTCCTTGTGTTGGACTGTCCTGTGTATTACAGGATGTTTACCATCTTGAACTCCCTGCCCACAAAATGCTAGTAACCTAACGGCAGTTATGACAGCTAAACACACCCCAGCATGTTTTCAAATGCCCCTTAGAGGGCGGTACTTTCTCTGGTTGATTACCATTGGCACGTGATGATCTCTGCAGTCTATTTCATCTGAGAAGTGTTATTTTTTTCCTCTATGTGTTATGCATTTTTGTTGTATGGAAGAACACACAGTGGGGAAATGAACCCATTATATTTTGGAAGGTTTGTAAAAGTATCATTCATTTTTTATGACTCAAGTCCACCGTGATCACTGCCTCACCAAACATAGGTGATTCCTCCTCCGGGCTAACTTAGACCCAACTTAACCTCTATTATAGCAGTTGCCATTTTACCATCACTCCCTAAACGTACCCCACTTGACCTCAGGCTGTGAGTTCTTTGAGAATACACAGACTGTGCCTTATTCATTCTCTATCTTCAGTAAACAACATAGTTCTGACATATATTAGGTACAATATAAAGTGTTGCCAAATGAATAAATGGATGAGGGAAGAGTAAAGCTGAATCTTTTGCTTTTTCTACATGAACATTTTCCCTCCAAAGGGATTTTCACTATATTTCTAGCTTAACGAACAGAAATGGAGAGCTAAGAGATTAAGCCCGGTTGATAATAATAACACAACAAAAATAATCATAAATAATATTAAGAGTAAATTGGAATCATAATTATGAACACCATTACAGAAGATCTTACTCTGTGCCACACGTTGTTTAAGCACTTTTTTTACCCAATTTCATTTAGCCCTCACAGATTAGGTAAAGCAAGGGAGACACCTAGGATGCAAAGTTTTGAGAGGCCTCAGTCTCAGCTGTGAACCCTGCAGTGAGTGAGTGCTTCATTCATCTTGTTCCAGACCTTCCTCTTTATTATTCTATCAAATATTTTTCATTATCATCTTATAGAGGAAGAAACAAAGGCTCAGAGAGCTAATCTGCTTATCCAAGCAGGTAGTAAGTGATAGAGGAGGAAATCAAACCTAAGCTTATCTGATTCTGAAGCACATGTTTCTAACCCATTAGAGAAAGGACTCGTGCCAGGCTTGGGGCGGTTTATTACAGGTCCATCCTAGATGAGTACAGAATCAAAGAGAAACCATTTAGAAGCATTATAGCAACTTGACAATGTCCCTACAAATAAAGTCATGATCAATGTATTCATTGCTTTGAACAGAGTAGAGGTACCAAAGAATCAGCACGTCACGACTGGGAAAAAAACAAGCAATGAAATTGTCCTTTGACACAGTTTGAGAAGCACTGCATCAGGAAATACCAGAGAAATTGGGAAATTTATTAAATTTTTTTCTTTGCAGTTATAGCACAAGCTGAAAGACATGGTACTCAGGGAGTAACGTAATAATGTGAAATTTTATCAGACTATATTTCTAATTATTTAATTTTTTAACTTTTTAAACATTTTTGGTACCTCACATACAGAGACATGAGTTGTATTTTTCATAACCTACTGTTTATGATGCAGTCTCAGCATCATGCATGACCATCTTTCATTTTGTATACTGATATGATATAATACTATAATAAACACTGATGAATCACCACCCAACCCAGGAATCAGATCAATTCCATTACAACTACCTGAGGCCTCCTCCATGATCATATCTGCTTTCCTTTCACCTCTCTTAACATTATGTCACTAAGAATCACCCATGTTCTAGCTATGGATATTGTTGCTTAAAGTTGTTCATTCATTTCCATGGTGATAATATTCTGTGATGTGAATGTCCTTATTTTCTCCTTAATGGGCATTTGGGATACGTGTCAGCCATTATTTCATTGTCTCTCTTCCAGAGCCACCCTTCATTGCTGTTCTGTGACAATGGGTACAGACCCTGTAAACATTTCACCTTTGTCAGTGATGGGTACTAGATGGCAACACAAGACTTCTCTTCCAGCGCCAGTGTGCTCCTTGGGAAGCCTTCTCCAGTGCCAGCTCTAGTGCTGGCTACTGTAGTACATGGCAGGCAGCAGCACATGGGGCTGGCAACATGTGGAGTTCCTGTTTAGGAAGCTTCCCGTGGTGCCCCTCAGGTGGCTACACAATGAGTTCTGAGCCACATTGCCTCCCTGTGAGTGGTTTCTACTGGCATCCTAGAGAGTGGATTCCCACCGGACACCTCAGTGGACTTCTTTACCATCTGTGAGCCACAGCAGAGAGCTTTCCAGTGGAGTCTGCATCTTAACTTTGGGGAAGGGGTCCTCTTTTAGGTGTATTCTTTTCTTTAGTGCTCTAATTCAGTTCTAGGGGTAGCGGCTGCACCTTGTATCTTCTATTCTTATATCCTTTAGAGTTCTCTTAACCTCTGAATAACCAATTGCCTGTTACTCTAATCCCCCATTATAATTAATATTTTATTCATGTATAAAAGTCCCTGTTCAAATTCCTGTGTGATTTATGTCTCTTGACTGGACCCTGACTGGTAGAGTTTGTTTTTAATTTTTTGTTATTACACAAAGTGCTTCTACAAATGTTATTGTACATTTCTCCTGGGCACATGTGAAAAATGTTCCTTAGGTATAAGAATGTAATTGCATAACCATAAAGCATGCAAAAGTTAAACTTTATAAGATAGCCCCAAATCATTATTGCTACTAGCTATGTCTGAGAGCCATTGTTTCAGATTTTCCCCATCACTTTTTATAGTCTAACTACTAAGTTTTTGTCAATCAGAAAGGTACAACATGATATATCATTGTGGCTTTGATTTCATTTCCTTGAGTAAGAATGAATTTCAATGTATCTTCATCTTTTTATTGGTTTTTCCTCTTCTTTGACATGCCTGCTCACATCTTTATTTTTCAATTGACTTTGGTCTTTTTTATTATGATTTTTTAAAAAAGTACTTTATATACTTTTTCCCTTTGTCTGATATGTCATGACAAGTGTCTTTCCAGTTTCTTAATTTTCTTAAAAAAAATTTAAAGGAAGATTTTCATGAACAGAATTTTTACTTTTTAATGCAGTCAAATGAGTCAAATTTATTTTAGGGTTAACATCGTTGTATCATTTTTAAGAAATTTTGATCTATGCTAAGGCTCAATATGTTTACTCTTATATTTTCTTCCAAAAATTTTACAATTTTGTTCTTAACTTTGGATCCAAATTTGCTATTTGTGTGTGGTGTGAGGTAGCAATCCATTTAAACTTTCCATGTAAAAAAATATTTTTTTCAGACCAGTGTCTCTGCTTTTTCACTCTTCTCTTCTATGCCTCCTTTGTCATATGTGAAAATTCCATATATAAATGGATCTGTTTCTGTGTTCTCAATTTCGCTCCCTTATGGACCTTAATTTCCATATAGGAAGAGAGTCAGGATGATGAAATGCTGATAATTGGTGCAAAAGGGGCATTGGCAGTTACCAAGAATCTATCAAGCATTGTATTGGGCAATTTACATGCATTTTATCCTTTAATCCTGGCAATAACCTCTGAATCATGCATCATTATCCACACTTCACATATGAGGAAACGAAAGCTCAAGGAGATTGTGTGACTTGCTTAGTCTCATCCAGTTTGTAAGTGGTGGAGGCCAGGATATGAATCCAAATTCTGTGTTCTTTCTACTATATTATATTGTTTTTCTAAATCATCCAAATTGAATTAATTCACATCTTTAAGAATTGGAGCTGGACTAAGATCAATGTAAGAATAATTCTATAATTTAATTTAGGCATTTCTTATAGTTGGAAGACAGGCTTTGGAACACAGAGTGAAGATGAAATATGCAAGCATCTGTAGGCTTGTCCTTGGCATTCAGAGAATGGGCTTTGGGCCACAGACTCATTCTGCCACCTACCAGCTGGTGGGGTTGGATAGTCACATACCATCAGGTCTTGTTCTCATTGGCCATGGGAGTAGGTAAGGTGGAGCCCATGGCAACCTGCTGGAGTGAAAAGAGCAGAAACCAGAAAGATTGCAATTCAAATTCTGGTTCTTCCATTTTCTTGTTGTGTATACTTGGAAAATCACTTTCCCTCTTTGAGCCTTAAGTTCCACATTTGTAAAATAGGAAAAATAAACTCCACCTTGTATGGTTCTTGTCATATCTATTAAATGTCTAGCACAGTGGTTGGCACACATTAGGCAATTAGTAGATAACAGCTTTCTTTTCCCCCCTTGCAAGTGGCTAAGATGAGAGCAAGAAGAGACTTTGCAGGCTGCTCCTATAGTTTGTTCTCCAAATATATTCTTTCTTGTAGGGGTGTTTATTTTTTACCAGTGAGGACTTCAGCTCTCCTGGAGACCCAGATCACTAAGCACAGGCTTTACCACTCTCACTATTAAAAAAAGATCAGACATTTCCAGTCTTCTGAGGACGGCCTCAAATGGGAAGACATCCCTCACAGAACAGGGTCAAATGGGAAGACATCCCTCACAGAACAGGGAGAACACTACAGCTACTTAGTACAGGTCCTTGACTAAACCGCATTTGTTTTCACTCTTTTGATCTTGCCTATTTTGGGGCAGATTAAGCTGTGAGATTCCAGAATGAAGAATGACCACTAGGGTCAACTAATTCAGTCTCTTTATTTTGCTGAGGGAGAAGATTCAGAAAAAGCAAGGGAGTCAACGGGGGCCACACAGTGATTGGAGATGGAACCCTTACCTAGCCAGCTGTTACTGCAACCGCCCCCTCTCTTAACATTTCTACCCGAGATTTTGAGAGTAACCTCACGTGCAGAACCAGCTAATCCTGCTCATTTGCTATCTGGGTACTATCTTTGTTTTTAGCTTCACCTAAAATGGTTATTAAAAGATTCAGCAGACTTTTAACAGCAACTAGATGCCCTAAGTGCTAGTATCTGTAAAGCACTTACTATGTATCAGGCACTATTTAAGTACTCTCTATGTCTTGACTTATTTAATCCTCACAACAATCCTTCAAAGTAGGTATTATTATTCTTTTCACTTTTGGAGATGAGGAAGTTGAGGCATTCAGATACACAACTTAATCAAAATCACTTGATTCCCAAGTTTACATTTTTAGCTGCTCTGATGTAGTGCCTTATTTGTTCTGATGCAAAGTAACTGACACTATAATAACAAAATGGAGCCCAAGAAATTTACTAACCAGAAAGGAAAGTAAGGTTTTAGGATAGTTCGGAAGCTCTCAGAGTTATATTCAAGACATATAGCATCAATGTATTTATTTTATGTTTTTCTCCCAAGACTTACGTCTCTGGCTCAAATAACACAATGCAGCAAATGTCTTAAATAACATATGGACTGCTATTCAGAAAAGAAAAGAAATTTAGCGCACACTTTCTGGTAAATTCAATAATGTGAACAGTATTGAAAATGTGTTTGAAGTGATGAAATTCAAGGTCTAGGAAATGCCTAACTACAGGAATGAAATATCAGAAATATACAGTCTAAGACAATTTCATTAAGTAGAATTCACATGTGTGATATAACTGTGTATCATCTAAGTAGAATTTTCTCATTGTCAGACCAGAATACATTATCTGGGTCTTACAGTTATCAGGTTCCAAAAGGAAGTGGCAGTCTTTGAAACAGTAATGATCATTTATAAATTAGTCTATAAATACCCTTCTCCACTTAACACTAACATCTCTTCCTACCCATTGTTTCAGTAGCTATCAGTTGTTTGCTATCTTTTAGATATCAAATATTTATTATAAACTACCAACCGTGCTATCCAAATCAATTGCAAAGTGAGATGTCTTTTTGTAAAAGACGTAAGATTAATATTGTATACTACTTAGATCATATACAAAGCTGTTGGCATATCAGTAACTGGCAGAGACTGTCCAGTTGAAACATAGAATATTTTAAAAAATAATGGTGGCAGGATAGGTGTTCAAAGGAGATTGATTTAAACATCAAACCCCTTGGAGAAATTAATGAAGTCCCTCCCTGTTTTTTTTTCCTAAAAATATGTGATTTTTATTATGATGTAGTACAATCCAAATGTGAATTGAAAATTGTCATAGTATACTGTGATACAAGTTTGCCTGGAAAAACAATGCCCCCTCAAATTCTAAGATTTATCTCACTGCAGCTATAACCTTTTGTTAAATATAAGATTAATAACTTATCTAACATTTATTTCATTTTTAGCACAATTTGCTGCCTAAACTTACTTGCCCTTAAAAATATATCATAAAGTGATCTCCCTATGTTGAGTTAAACTACTTTAAATTTGTCTTTTGACAAAATCCTTCCTTAGTGAATGCCTCTTGTATTTAAACATAAACATAAATACAGACTTGAACAAGAATTCTTAGGAAAGAGAAAAAATGCAAGTATCAATTCAATTAATAAACAAGTGCCTATTAAATGTCCCCAACACTTTGATTAGAAACAGAATCATTTGATTATATTTACAGGGTTATATTTACAGAAACTAACTCTTCAGCAACTTTCCTGAGCAGTATACAGACAAAAAATAAGAAATAACCAAAAGGTCTCAGGTCATTCCAAACAAACAATAAGAGCTCTCAGTTGTGTATTTAAAACCAGTAGCTCTTAGTTGATATGAAATTACTGACAATCATGTCTCTAACCTAACAGTGAGTCAAGAATAAGTCAAGGGAGGGGGGTAGTTTACTATGAATATTAATCACTTATTCAATGTCTTGTGCAGAAAAATTCCTAATTTTGGATAAAATTATAGCAAATCTTGTGCAAAAAGAAAGGAAGAGAGCTAAAGAGTGAAAGGCTGAAGCAGGAGCTAAGAGCGAGGACACGATCTGGTCTTGATCAGTCTCTCTCTGCCAGCTCTGCACAGCTGGCTAGCTTTCTTTCCCACTACTGAGGGTGTATGCACGTTCATTGCCAAGCATGGTATATGCAAGCTGTGGTTTTCAATGGCTAGATATGCAGAGGATAGACTTCTGGTTTGGAGGAAGAAATTCTAACTCAGCTGCCAGTCCATAAAGGGGGCTCAGAGATAACAAGACCCTACCACCTTTGGAATTCACCTTATTTTTGGTCTCTGCCTCTCTTTACTTTAGGTCATCTCTTTATGACATTGCTTCTGTGAAGTTGTACGTATTGGGAAGAGTAAAGCCACAGTGCATCAATAGTCTTATGAGAAGTCCCAAGGAAGGGAGGGCCTTGTAGAAAGGTAGAGAACAAAAGACATAAAGTGACAGAAAGACAAAATGTGTTATTTTAACAAAAGGAAGCATTGGCCAGGTCTAGCAGATGGCTTCAGAACAAATGAGGCACATGTATATGAGGTTGAAACAACTAGGGGGATTGGAATTATTTTGAGAGTGAAAGAAGACATTATTAATGATTAATCCTGGGCTCTGGGAATACACCGTGACTGTCTTGTACAAATGAGACTTATGGTCACCCTAGCAATAGCTGACCCCACAGTGAAGGAAGTGCAGTGCCTTTGGGGTGGCGTCGTGGGAGTGTGGTTGATGCCCGCATCCTGGCTATTATAGGGGAGGTCATTATTGAAAACATTAAGAATTTGTACGGTGAAGGCAGAAACCTTGCCAGCTTTATTTAACCACTGCAGAATTAAAAGTGTTTTAGGTTAATACGTTGTATAACTATAACGTGTAAATATATCTACCATTTACAGAAGGGTTTGAATGAAAGAATGTACCAACCTCTTGTTTCATGAATTGAATAAATTGGGGACTTAGGTGTTTATTTTATAGTTATTTTTAAATTATTATAGTAAGGTATCTTTTTACATATTATAAATTAAATATAACATATATGAAATTTCATAACATTTTTCAGGAAAGTGAACTTTGTCAGTTTCATGTTGGCTGGACATTGCCTGTGTGAAATCCATGTCAGTGTATTTGACATTTATTCCTTTGGTTACTCTATTTCTATATAACCCTGAGATTGTAATAATAGTATCCTAACCTGTCCTCTATATGTTTTCTAGTTTTGTCTTTCACAATAAAGTCTTTAATCCACATGAAACTGATTTTTGTATGTGGCATGAGATAAAGATCCAAATTAAAATATTTTTTCTTGTACGGCGAACCAATCCTCCCAGCTCTGTTCCCCACCAAACAGCAAAGTGAGGATCAGAATCTATTTCTGAGCTGTTTACTTTATTACTTTCATTTATTCATTAATCTCTGAACAAAAAAATACTTTCTGAATTATTATAGATTTTTTAAGATATACATTTAAGATTTAAGATTATACATTTTTTAAGATAAATTTTTTGGGGGGGAAGAGTTTTGGATTTACAGAGACATTACTAAGTAAAGAGAGTTTAAGTTTTGTTTATTTTAAGTTTTGATACCAATTAGGGCATTTCCTTCCAAACTGATCTTCCTCAGGCATGTCCTGGCTCATCCTTGCCCCTTGCATTACATTTTAATTTTTAAATCAGTTGTGTTCTATGAAAAAAGCTATTAGGATTTTGGCTAGAATTGCGATCACTTTCTCATTTGATGTCTTTATGATACTGATTCTTCCAATCTACAGCTCTGGTATATTTTTCCATTTATTTAGGTCTTATTTACTATTCTTCAATATATTTAATGCATTTATCCTTATAAATGTTTTATATATTTGAAATTTATTCTTATATTCCATGTAAGTCTTTTGCATATTTGAAAGCTGTTTGTTGCTTTTTACAAATTATGTTTTTAAAATGGTATCTTCTAACTTTTCCTGTTAGCATATAGAAATAAAATTCACTTTTGCATAACAATTTTATTTTCTTGCTAAATTATCTTATTAGGTTTCATAATTTAACTACAGTTTTAACTTTTCTATATGAACAATCAAAATGTTTATGAATAATGACAGTTTAGTTTTCTTATCTTAAATTTTTTTATCATTTATTTTTCTTGCTTTTTGTGTAAGACCTCAAATGAAATATTAAGTCGAAATGTTAATAGTGGGCATTTTTATCTTTTTCTTGCTTCGAATAATTTACCATTAAACATGATGTTCACTATAAGTATTTGAAAAAATATTTTATGCTGTTAATAAAATTGCTGTCTATTCTAACTTGCTAGAATTAGCAGTCAGGTTGTTGTTGCTTAACTTTTTAAATTATTACGAATACTACTAATTGTACATATTTATGGGATTCATGTGATTTTTGTTGCAAGCATATGATGTGTGACAATAAAATCAAGGTAAGTGGGGTATCTACCACCTCAAACATTGATCATTTCTTTGTGTTAGGGACGCTCTAATTCCAGTCTTTTAGTTATTTTGAAATATACAATAAATTATTGTTTCCTATAGTCACTTTATTGTGCTACCAAATGGTAGATTTGATTCCTTCTAATTATATTTTTATACCCATTAACCAACTCCTTTCTTTCTCCCCCTCCACACTACCCTTCCCAGACTCTGGTTATTGTTGTTTTTAATGGTATCAAATTAAAAAAATATTTTTCTGCAACAGTTGAGATGATGATGAGATTATACCTTTAATTACATTAAAGGCTTTTCTCTTATTAAATCAGCCCATATTACTAAAATACCTTGCTTGGCTGTGATGTGTGTATGCATGAGTGTGTGTGTTATGTATACATGTGTGAATGTATTGTTATTGTTTATTCTGTGTTGGATTCTTTTTTCTTATAGGTTACTATTTGATCTCTTTTTTATTTTATTGATATGTAAGATCAGGCTATAATTTTCTTTTCTGTGTTCTACATTTTTTAAGATAAATTTTTTGGCGGGGAAGAGTTTTGGATTTACAGAGACATTACTAAGTAAAGAGAGTTCCTGTATATTCCTCCCTGAGTTTCCCCTGTTGTGAATCTCTTACATTGCCAAGGTATGATTGCAAAATGAAGGAACCAATTCTGTTGCAGGATCTGATTGAAGGTGCCACATTGTATTTATTTGTCATATGACCTTAGCCTCCTCTGATCTGTAACAGTTTTTCAGTCTTTCCTTGTTTTTCCTGATCTTGATAATCTTGAGGAGTACTGTCCAGAAAGCCTGCAGAATGTTCCCCTGACTTGGTGTGTCTATTGCTTTTCTTGTGATTAGAATTGGGATATGAGTTTTGGGAAGAACCTCAAAGAGGTGAAGTGCCTCTCTGTTCACATCATATTAGAGGGCATATAAGATCCGCATGACATCGCTGGTAACGTTAACATTCGTCACTTGGCTAAGGTGGTGTTTTCCAGGCTTATCTACTACAGAGTTACTATTTTTCCCTTTCTCTACTCTATTCTTCCAAAGCGAATTACTAAATCTAGCCCATCCCTGGGAGGCGGGCAGGGTTAAACTCCACCTCCCAGATGGGGAGTGTCTTACATATATTATGTGATATTCTTCCATAAGGAAACTTTGTCTCTTCCCCCCATTTATTAATGTATTCCATAACTATTTGTATTGGTATGTTCTAATATATATTTATTTTATGCTTTAGGTTAGAAATGGATTATTATTCAATATTACATTATTTATTTATTTATATTTTTTACATTTTCCTTTGATTTCTTCTGTGACCCAAGATACATTATTTATTTTGTTGCTCAGATTATATTAGCTTTGGCTATTGGGAGCTCTTTCAGGCTAGCTTCTGTGCTTCTTTGACATGCTCTCACCTTTTTGTTTTTTGAGCACTTCCATACTTTCTGGCACTATGACATGCTCCAGGCTTAACTTATATTTTATGTTGGAGTAGAGATGAATGGAATTAAAGAATCAACCATTTCTTCAAAAAGCTCTTGTTCTTTTTTGTTGGAAAATGGTATTTAGAAACCAAGATGTGGGTGCTGGCTGTGTTTATTGCTACTGGGGTGTAACTGCTTCTAGGACTTTTCAGTGGACAGAGCTAAAAAATATGAGTATGTATACTAACCCATGTATGCACATATAACTATAATTATTTCTCCCTACATGTAAATCTGTATCTATATCAAACTAAATATAAGTTCATGCTGATATGCCCGATTCTAATCTAGTGCCACAGGATTACTTCTACACTTCTTGCTTATGTATAACTTCTCTTTCTAACACTGAGAAACCTGGTTCCTACATCGAACATCCATTGACTTATTTTAGCTTTATAGTAAAAAATGTCCTATATTGTAAGGTTCCTCTTCTTATAATCATTATGTAACTAAATTTCTCAAAGAAAAAGAATGATTATCTCAGTGTACAGTCTAGAGAACTTAGTTCTTTCTTCAGATCTATTGTGAGAACTGACCTATCTTTTTTTGAGACAAGATCTCACTGTCACCCAGGCTGGAGTGCAGTGGTGTGATCTCAGCTCACTGCAGCCTCGACCTCTTGAGCTCAAGTGATTCTCCTGCCTCAGCCCCTGCAGTAGCTGGGACTACAGAAGCGCACCCCCATGCCCAGCTAATTTTTTGTCTTTTTTGTAGAAACAGGATTTCACTATGTTGCCCAGGTTGGTCTTGAACTCCTGGGCTCAAGCAGTCCGCCCGCCTCGGCCTCCCAAAGTGCTGGGATTACAGGTGTGAACCACCATGCCTGACCAGTGTTTTTTTCTTCTGCTTTATTTTGTGTTTTCTATTTGCCACATTTATTATTATTATTATTCTTTCTAGCAAAGCTTTCTTGCTGTTAAAGTCTTGTTACACAGAATATAAGATCTGTAGCTTTCCTTAAATTTGTAGCTTCTAAATCAAAGTTGCCTCATATATTCAAGTACCTTGAATTTTGCACTGTAGTGAACACCTAATACAGGTCTTCATAGTTTATCCTATAAGTTCAGGGCTCATCTTATACTGCCAAAACTTCAGAAACCCTGATTTTACTTAGACAACATCTCAGTGCAAAGGCCCCTGGAGTCCAGACATCCTTATAGCCACCGGGCACCATGGAGCATGGGCAGTTGCTTTCTAAAGGCACAGACTTTTGAGAATTGTGATCTTGAACATTTGTTTTCCTGGGAAGGAGCATAAGTGAATTTGAAACATCAGATTATTTTGGTGACAGTGAAATTCTAATGAGAGTCTCTTTCTTCTATAAGAATGAGAGCCAAGGCTCAGTAAAGAACAGACTTCTCCCATTTGAACATTCTTTCCAAGAGGGAGATTCACATTTACTAAGCGGTCCTTCTTTTTTTTTCTCTGTCATCCAGATCCATATCTGGTTGTTTCATTTTTCCTTTTCCTTCTTTCTTTTCTCCCTCTCTCCCTTCTCTTCATCTCTTCTTCCTTCCTCTCTCACGCCTTCCCCCTCTCCCTTTTTTTCTCCTCTTCAATCTTCACTCTTCTCTCCCTCTTTCTCCTTTCCGTTTTTTTCAAACTTGGGTTCAAAGCTTGGCCCTACCACTTATTAGCTGTATGATTTTAGTGGCTATGTAACCTCAATGATCCATGTTATCTTTATTTTAAAATATGACTAATAATATGTTTGCTGAAGAGTTTTTGTGAGACTTACAAATAAGTTGCAAATTTCCTGGCACATTGTCTGGCACATAATAGGTGCTAGGAAATGGAAAGAATTGTTATCATTATTTTCTCCTTTCAAATCCTACTCTCTGACTCTCTTTTCTCCCCCTTTGTTCTTGGTGGACAGAAAGGCAAGCCACAGAGGAAGGTGGTCTACTGTTCTTGTACCTCCTCATATGTCTACATTCCACTGGTGGAAGCAGGGGTGTAATTTTTGCATCTGTTCAAAGCCAACCAGGTTGAACCCAAAGGACTGTGTCAGGTTAGAGTTGTACGCTTATCCAGCACCAGTGTATTATTTAAGATTGAAATGGAGTATCCAAGTTAGAGGCATTTGGGGCCTAATCAGCTCTAATTTAGTGTATTATAATTCAGTTGAGGCTCTACAAGCTGCCTTAGACTCTTAAAACCAAGAAGCAAGCCTGAGAAATAGCTTACCTGGTTCTAGATAATGTTGGTGGCCAATGAATAGCTTATGGTTTATAAAACCCTTTTACACTATGATTTTATTTGATGCCTTCAATAACATTATGAAGTTGTCATTATTATAAGAAAACTGAAATTCAGAGTGGGAAAGTGATTATAGGAAACAAACCTTGTTCATATTTCCACATTCTCTCAACGGCCTCCTTCATTATGTTGGTCAATGCCACCTACATGACTTTCCACTTCCAGACCTGGGTGAAATGCCACACAAACGAGCTGTGTCATGGCTTTGGGTGCAGCCACCTAGACGTCAGAGGATGCAGCCCCAGCGTGTGTGGGCATTTGCTCCCTGTGGAATGAAACTTGACCACTGCGATGAGAGTTGGGAGGAAACCGCTTTCTCATCCTTTCTGCTCTCTTTGTACAGCTTTGGGGTGCAGATTTTCTACCAAATTGTATTAGTTTTCTAGAGCCACCCTAACAAAATGCCACAAAATAGGGGGCTTAGACAACAGAAATTTATTTCTTCCCAGTACTGGAGGCTGGAAGTTCAAGATTAAGGTGTCGACATGGTTGGTCTCTCCTGAGGGCTCTCTCCATGGCATATGGATGGCTGCTTTCTCACTGTGTCATTGCATGGTCTTTCCTTATGCACTAGCATCTCTGGGGTCCCTTTTTGCATACAATGTCTTGGAAGGATACCAGACAGATTGGATTAGGCCTACTAACAGGGCCTTGTTTCAACTGAATTGACTGTTTAAAGGCTCCATCTCCAAATGTAATTACATTCAGAGCTACTCAGGGTTAGGGCTTCCACTTGTGAAGTTTTGGGGGGGTCACAATTCAGCCCATAAAACACACCTCTGGAGAAGACCCCATGGGAATCAAGCACACCTGCTGGGAGTGAGCTGCTATGTTTTCTAACAACTCAGGGTAAAGCCCTGGGTGGCAGGGTAGTGATGTATCACACGACATTACCCTGCTCCTTACTTACTTTATTTCCATCCTTTTCCTCGTTCTCACTACCTTGACCTTACAACTCCACACAGAGTATCAACACTTTCATCCTGGCCTCAGGCTCTACCTTCTAGGAGACCTGGGTGAATACAGTGGCTCAGTCAGGGTGGCAGCTGGGTCTGGGACTTGAGTTTTTAAATTTCAAATCTCATCTTTTCATTATCTCAAATTTGTCATTTATTCATCAGCGTTTTATAGAGTCCATGACATGTAAGATGTTGCCAGACATGAATGAAATACTGTGATGAGCAAGAAATAGCCTGAAACCAGAGGCCCATAATCCAATGGTGAGATATGACCACACACAACATAAATAACAGCAACACCACCACAAACATGAAAGCATGACTTCTGAGCAAAAACAACTCCTTGTCTCCAGAAAGGTTTTATATATTTTGCAACTTTTTCCTAGATGCCAAGTTCTAGGCTATCCCATTGGTGAATAGAGAAGACATGATATATAAGTTAAATTCAAATAATTAAAAACTAAACAAAAACAGGGCTGACACAGCACCTAAACCAGAGTCACATGGTGCCAAAGACCAAGGCATATGACACTTGCTCATGAGCAGGCCTGAGACTTTCAGAGTTTAACTTGCTGAAGAGTCTTGTGCTCAGGTTGACACACAAGGAGGGGCAGGTAGACGCCCTTGTCCTCGTCAATGTTCTGCCAGCTTTTTAACTCATCCAGTCAAGTTTTTGCAAGTGAGCACTCCTTTCCCATTTCTACAGGAAAAGCGGAAGTTGTTTCTTTTGGTGACTTCTTAGAGTTCAAATAGTTATTCGAATTTCCTTGTAACTTGAAGGTGTCATCAATATCACTATTACGTACAATTAAGGTTCTGATAGATGCAATTCTAACCTTGGTTGGAAATATGATGCCTTATAGCATCTGGACTCTTTCCAGAAGGAGTCGTCTAAATTCTTGGAAAACTCTTAGAAACTCAGGTGGAAACAGTCTACCTAAAAAAAAAGTCCACTTGGGTCATGGTCCAAAGAATCTAACCAATAATCTTATTTTTTTTAACTTGTTTGTGGACTAAGGTTGCCTTATATTAAATATCTCAAAATGGTGCTGGACAAAAACAAGGGCTTTCGAATTAGACAGACTAGGATTTAAATCTGGCTTCTATTTGTATGCCATGCTCTTGCAGCCTTGGTTTGGACATCTGTAAAGTGTGGCTAATAACACCTGTCTAATTATTGCAAAGATTGAATAAAATAATGATGGTGAATCCCAGCTCTGCTTTTAACTTGTTGTGAGAGGTTGATCAAGTTTTTTGATGTCTCTCTAACTTATTTCTTCATCTGCAAAATATGAATTATGCTAACATACATACCTATGTCCTATGTATACCTATGAATAACATATCTATAATAATACAGGGTTAGCATGAAGACAAAATTTATTTTAATTAATACAAGTGCTGGAACTGTACCTGGCACTCAACAAAAAGCATTCTACAAATATTGGCTATTTTTCTTTTTTTTTTTTTTTTGCATTATTGCTATGAGTGATCAGATTTAAATAGCAGTCGCTCATTTGGTTCCCTGAATGCATTTGACTTCCTTTGCTTCTTGAAAGTACTTTCCCTGTTTATGAAAATAATCTAATGGAACTGGTGGTGAAAAATTCTTGAGGATGTTCATTTTCACCCAAGTCCTTTCAACCAAAGTATTCTCTTATCCAAACTGTGTGCTCCCAAAGCTCAATGATTCTGGTTTCTTCTTCCCTGTAAGCCTGGGAAGCTCAATACTTGCGTTTCTAGCCCATTTCCATGACTTATCAACAAATCAGATAGGCCTACATTTAACATTTCTGTCTGCTTTGTTCTTTTCCATTCTTATTCACTCTGTAGTGTCCAGTTTCATAGACACTAGCCACGTGTGGCTATTGAGCACTTGAAATAAGGCGAGTCCAAATTGAGATATGCTGTAAATGTAAAATATATGCTGAAGAAATGAGTATGAAAAAGTAAGGCTGGGTATGGTGGCTCATGCCTATAATCCCAGCACTTTGTGAGGCCAAGGCAGGAGGATCTCTTGAATCCAGGAGTTTTAGACTAGCTTGGGCAACACACGGAGACTTGGTCTTTAAAAAAAAATACAAAAATTCGGTGGGTATGTTGGTGCATGCCTGTAGTCCCTGCTACTAGGGAGGCTGAGGTGGGAGGATTGCTTGAGCTCAGGAGGTTGAGGCTGTAGTGAGCTGTGATCATAGCACTGCACTCCACCCTGGGCGACTGAGACCCTGCCTCAAAAAAAAAAAAAAAAAAAGTAAAATATTTCATTGGTGATTTTGTGCATTGAGTAAATAAAATACATGAAATATATGGGTTAAATAAAATACATTACTAAAATCAACTTACCTGCTTCTTTTTATTTTAAAAAATATGGTCACTAGGAAATGTTAAATGACATATATTGCTCACATTCTACTTCTATTGGACAGCGATGTTCTTAATCTTCTCATCCAGCTTCTCTCTAGCTCCAATCCATCATGTACTGTTGTTGTTTCCATCATGTGCTAGATGTTGTTTTCAGATGGCCACTCTCCTGCTCAAAAATCACCATGATCTATCACCTTGATGTAAGCCAGGGCACAAGCCTCCAGGTGTGCTGAGTGGAAAGAGAATTTCGCTGCCTGTTTCTCCTGGGGTCCTGCTAAGGTGGATGTATTGGGACTACTTGAGCCTGACACACACTTCACACCTCTGCTCCTTTGCCTATGCGTTTCCTCCTGCTTGCATTGCTCACATACACCTTTTTCTCCCCCTGCATAGTGGGTTTATTCCAACCTTTGAGACTCAGCTCAATGTTATCTCCTTTAGAAAGCCTTCCCACACTGAGTTGCATGATCACTCCCTCTCCTCTGCTCTCATTACTCTTGGAGCTGCCTCCAATGATTGCCTTTTACATCTTTGGTCATCAGTGTAGGTGTCACCTTGCAAACAAGACTATGGGGACCCTGATGACTGGGGTTAAGTGTTATGCCTTTCTGTATCACTACTACCTAATTGGGTCTCAGTAACTCTGCAGAGTAAGTAAATGAATGGAATAGCTCTGGAAAAATGGAAATAGGTGGGATAATCAACATCACAATCTAGGAAATTACCATCTACGTGGTAAAGTTGCTATGATGGAGTCTTTGTTCACCCATTCTGCTTCTCTGACCTTGGTGCCTATTGTTTTCTAAAGCACTCTCCCCCTCTATTGCACTTTTATTTCTACAGTCCTTTCTTTGTTCATGTAGTTCACCTATCCAGAATCTACTTTTTCTGCTGTTATTCTTCACATCTTTCTAGAACCCTTACAGAGTCATGTAGAAAGCCATATATATCTGTGCAGAAATTTAGAAAATACTTGCAAAAAGTTTTGAAAAAATTGGCAAAAAGTTTAGTTATGCTTTTTTCTTTTTCTTTTCTTTCTTTTTTTTTTTTTTTTTTTGAAATGGAGCCTTACTCTGTCACCCAGGCTAGAGTACAGTGGTGCGAACTTGGCTCACTGCAACCTCTGCCTCCTGGGTTCAAGAGATTCTCCTGCTTCAGCCTCCCGAGTACCTGGGATTACAGGCACAAACCACCACCCCTGGCTAATTTTTTTTTTTTTTTAATTTTTAGTAGAGACAGGATTTGGCCACGTTGGTCAGGCTGGTCTTGAACTCCTGACCTCAAAAGATCCACCCGCCTCAGCCTCCCAAAGTGCTAGGATTACAGGCATGAGCCACCGCGTCTGGTCTGATAATGCTTTTTTTGACTAATGATACAACAGTTTGCATTTAATTATCATTAATTGTTGCATGGATATTGTTTATATTTTCTTACTTCAAGTAAACCCCTGAGGCCAACACTTGAGTTTAACTTGTCTTATTTCACTACCATATGCAGCAGAAAAATATCAGATGGAAATGTGTAAGATTACAGAGGAAAGAGCTGTGAAGTCAGTATGGGATATGCTCTATAGTAAAAACAGTGGGGTACAGAAGCAAGAAAAGGGAGATAAATGGACAGAATGAAAGAGGTGATCATAATACATCCTGATACACTGTATCATTTAATATATAATAAAGCTTCTATTATAAGACCATTGAGGGGGTGGAGCTTTAAAATAAATGCTATTATGCCAAAAGGTTAACTGTTAGAACATAATCAAGTTAGAATACAAATAATGAATCACATCTAATGAAGCACACCTCCAGGATGCACCTAATGAAAATAGTGGCAAAGCAATGCCTGAGAAGTTTCCAGAATTGAATATGGGTATAACCCTTCGGTAAAACGTACCCGCTAAGTTCTGAGCAAAATAAATATAAAACAAATCCACACCTATGTCCCTGATAGGAAACTTGAAAATCAAGGATGAAGAAAATGTATTATGTCATATAATAAAAGGAATTAAAGTTAAAATTCATGAAAATTAGACAAATTGTTTTTGGAGTCTTTCAATGAGGAAACATTTCTTTTTCTTTGAGATGGAGTTTCACTCTTATCACCCAGGCTAGAGTGCAATGGCGCGATCCCGGCTCACTGCAACCTTTGCCCCCTGGGTTCAAGTGATTCTCCTGCCTCAGCCTCCCTAGTAGCTGGGATTACAGGTGCCCACCACCACACCCAGATAAGTTTTGTATTTTTGGTAGAGATAGGGTTTCACCATGTTGGCCAGGCTGGTCTCAAACTCCTGACCTCAGGTGATCCGCCTGCCTCAGCCTCCCAAAGTACTGGGATTACAGGCGTGAGCCACCACGCCCAGACTGAGGAAACATTTCTTAAGCTTAATAGTGATAATGTCATTCACATGACAAATAACTTGTAAGCTTAGCTTAATAGTAAAATAAAATAATACTTGATAGACGAACAGTAAGCTGAAAAAATAATTGTAGCAGTAACAATAGGGCAAAAGTTAAATAAAGTTTTTATTATACACATAAGAACTGGCACCTGGTTAGAAAAATCAGCAAAGAGTATGAAACAATAAAGTTAACAGAAAAAATAAGACAAATGGCTAATGAATGCATGAAACATACTTAAATATTTCTAATAAATATAAGTAAATATATGAAAAAATCAATGTTGGAAATAATCAAAATGATGTCAATAATTTTTATACAATAATTTAGCAAAGGTGAAAAAATTATACTATTTAAATGGGGAAGAATGCAATGAGATAGCTCTTTACACATATTCACTATAATTAAGAATTAAAATTGGCAAAATTTTTCTGGTAAGCAATTTGAAATTAAGTTTATAATACTCAATTAATTAAAATGTGTTGAATCCGTGCTACAGCTTCATTTCCATTTATTTATCTTAGAGAAATAAATAATTTTGGACCAGAATGTTCATTACAGAATTTTTCCCTTGTATTTTTACTAACTTAAGAAAATAGAGTAGTAAAAAGACTAATATGAAAAATAATAAGGTATTCATTACCAAAAATTTAAAGAAAAGTTTAATATTTTGTCATTTATTTTATATTTTAAAAAATATAAAAGTTTAAGTAAAGTTTATATCCCTTTTGTTCTCATGTTAATACCCATTCTACTCTATCCACTGAGGAAATAATTAATATGAAATTGGTATATGTCCTTCTAATTTTTTTAATTTTAGATACCTCTAACTACTCTGTATCAGCCATATGTAATTTTTTTGTGTTTAAAACTACATAATTGCAAAAATTACTTTACTTTTCTAATTATTTCAAGGTTTTGTATTTTACAATAAATCTGTAATTCATTTATGTAACAAATATTTGTTGAGCATCTACTATATGCAGGCAATGTTCTACATACTTAGGCTGTATCAGTTAATAAAACAGAGAAATATGTCTGGCTTTATGGAATTTATATTCTGCTGGAAGGAGATAGACCATATATACAAGAAGTTTTAAACAAGAACATTATAGATTACTTAAAAGGTGATCGTGCTGTGGAAAAAAAGAAACTAGAGTGGAATAAGGGCAATTGAGAGAGGTGGGGTTTCAGAATGAGTGGGTTAAACTTTTAAACAGGATGGTCAGGGTAGACCTCATTAACAAGGTGATGCTTGAGCAAAGACTTGAAGGAGGTAAATGAGTGAGTCAGGTGGATTCCCATGAGACGTCAAGTTGGAGGGAAGAGCAGGTGCAAAGGCCTTGAGTGGGAGACCATGCTTGGTGGGCTTAAGGAATGGCAAGGAGGCCAGTGGGGTTCGAACTGAGTGACTGTCAGAGACTTTACAGGAGTCAGATCCTAGAGCACCTTGTAGGCTCATACAAGGAGTCAAACAGAAAGTCATTGAAGAAGGTTTGGAGCTGATTACTGACTTGGTTAAATATACTTAAAAATATGTTTTGGCTCCTTTGTTGACAATAGATCATAAAAGAGTAATTGTGGAGACAGAGAAACTATTGCATTCATTCAGGCAAAAAATGATGGTAGTAATGCCAGGGCAGTGGTGGTAGGGGTCATGAGAACTAGTTGGATTTTGGACCTATTTTTAAGATGGAGCCAACGAGATTTTCTGATGAATTAAATGTGTAAATTAAGAAAAAGAGTCAAGGATAATTCCAAGGATTTTAGTTTGAGCACTTGAATCGAGTGGATAAAGTCACCATCAGCTGAATTGAGGAAGGGTGTGGATAGTTCAGAAGTTCTGGTCTCATTAAGTTTGAGATATGTATTAGCCACCCAAATGGAGAAGAATCCATTCAAAATTCATTTTTGTTTTTGGCTTGATGTAAGAACCTGTTTTTCTCCTACAACTGAAACCAGTGATCCTAACATCTGAGAGGTCTATATTTCTACCACTGATTTACAATGCCACAGCTATAATATCCTAAATTCCTGTTGATACTTGAATTTGTTTGTGGACTTTCTTTTTTTCGTCTATCTGCTTTAATTAATTATGCTGCTTTAATCACATTATATTACTTTTTAAAAATTTTAATTTTATTTTATTTTAAGTTATAGGATGCATCTGCAGGACGTGCAGGTTTGTTACACATGTAAACATGTGCTATGGTGGTTTGCTGCACCTATCAACCCATGACTTAGGTATTAATCCTGCATGCATTAGCTATTCATCCTGATGCTCTCCCTCCCTCCGCACCCGCAATAGGTCTCCGTGTGTGTTGTTCCTCTCCCTGTGTCCATGCGTTCTCATTGTTCAGCTCCCACTTATCAGTGAGAACACACGGTGTTTGGTTTTCCGTTCCTGTGTTAGTTTGCTGAGGATAATGACTTCCAGCTCCATCCATGTCCCTACAAAGAACATTTCATCTAAGTTGACATTTTTTGACATAAATTTATTAATAATATTTTCTTCTCATTATTTTATTATATGTAGAGTCTGTGGCATTGTCACCTCTCAGATATTTGTAGTTTGTGTCTTTTTTTTTTCTGATCAGTCTGACTGAAGGTTTATTGATTGTATTGATCTTCTCAAGAATCAGCTTTGGGTTTCATTGAGTTTTTCTGGTTTCTCTGATTTTCAAGTCAATATCTGATTGTTCTAGTACCAAAAGAGATAAAATACATGTAAAACACAATAGTCTCTGGCATATTGGGAGCATTCAATGAATGAGTGCTTTTAATGTTATTTTATAATTGTCATCATCTTTTATGATGCAAATTTCTTCCATGTTCTTCGATAATTTGAATTGCAAACTTGTCTTCTGTGTGAATTTCATTTCTTCTTTTCTCTATGGTTTCTGGCAGTTTTATAGTGCCTTCTCCCTGGTGCAGTAGTTTTCCTTGTTCAGAACTAGGTCATGTATTATTATTAGCGGTTTGAGTTTTCATCTTGTAAAGTTTCTGTAAAGCAATTTTCAGAAACAGGGGAAAGCTAGTCCAATGTACTGGTCAATCAGATATCTCTTTCTTTCCTAGTTTCTTGGCAGCAAGTTAGTATCAGCTGTATCTTTGGGGAGGGTTTGCTGCTCTTTGTGCCTCCTGTTCATAAGTGGTAGATTTCCATTACTGTTCATCATATAAGGAAACTCTCTCTTAACACAACTTCTTGGCAGAGGTTGGGGGGCCGTTATGAGGGTGAGAAGCATTTACTTATATGATGCTATGACTGGCATCTCTAGCAGTTGGGCAGTGCACCACCTGGCCAACCACACATGGTAGTCATGTTTGCTCTGATCTTCCATATCTACTTCTGAACATGTCTAATTCTTGCTTCTTCTGCCTTTTTGGGTTATGGGGTCCTGAAAGATTACATTTCATCTTCCCAGTGATATAGTTCCATCATTTACACCTCATGGAGTTAACAGTGTTATTGTTAAGTATATTGTTAAGGTTCTCTTTTGACATATTTTTAACCAATTATCTATTATGATATGCATCTGGAGTACAAAGGTGGAATAAAGTGGTTTATTTGGGAACTCACAGGACCATCTTGACTGAAAGCCAGCGTTAATTTTCATAGTAAAACTTTTGAAACAACTTAATAGTAAGCATAGAGAAATGGTTAACCACATTCAGTACTTTCATACCATGGAATTTTATGCAGCCTTTTAATGTTTTTGAAATAATTTTAATGACATTTGAAAATTCTAAGGTTATAATGTTAACTGGAAAGATAAGATTTTTAAACTGTACTTGTACTATAATCTCAACTAAGTAAAAATAGGCATATAAACAGGCTGGAAGGAACTAACATAAAATAATACCAACTGTTCTCCGGATGGTGTTACTATGAATGGTCAAATTGCTAAATAAATACTTTCATAAAATTTAAGTTTTTTATAATGAATATACATTATATTGATGAGCAGAAAAATGTGAGTGGTATAATAAAAGCAAAAGTCCACTCACTACTTTGAGCTTACCTTGGAAGAGGCAATTCATCACTTCCGTATGTCTCTTCCTTTCTGTACCAAAATTTAGGGACTCTTGGGCTCAACTGTTGCTGCCAGTTACATAGGACAGCCGTCAGGCTCCTTAAAACCTCCAAGATCATGCTGATAGCCCACAGTGGTCTTCCTCTTTTTAACACTCTCTGTTCAGGTTTGTGCTGCACGATCAGTAGATCGTGTTCTGCCTTGTTTAGGGACCCTGATGGCTACTTATGTCAACTCAACCAGTACATGACAAATAACATGTCATCTAACATTGGCATGTACCATCTAGATCCAGGAGTTACTGCATACAGTAGGTGCTTAATACATCTTTCCTGAAATCATCCTCACCTGTGTAATTACAGCTCTGCCTTTGCCCAGGATGAAGGAAGCATAGAAAATAAAAAGTGGTTGGATAAGGTGGTAGAATTCTGTGTGATTCTGTTTTTTATTTTAAAATTCCTATTTTGGCTGTTATGTTTTTGTGGAATAAAATAAAATTTTCTTGAGTTCTTGAATTCCTTCGATTCCTTCACATCTGGGAGTGTGGTCAAGAGCTTTCGTTCTTGGAGGCCGAGGTTCAAATGCAGGCCCTTTCTGTTCCAGTATGGCTTTCATAAGCCACTTTACCTCTCCAAGTCTCACATCCTCAGCAGCAAAATAATCATATTGGCTTTGAAGCAGTTGATGTGAGGCTCAGTCAGGGTAACGTAAGTGAAGTTCTTTGTGCATAGCAGTTACTAAATGAGAAAGCTCTTCTTCCCCCTGCCTTTTATACAGTAAACCCAGGTGGGTGGACAGAGTAAGTCCACTTTGGATTTCCTTAGGGGGCCCTTTGCTACAGCTAAAGGGCCTCTGACCTCGATTCAAGAGTTTTATTTAAATGAGCAGACAGTCTTTGTGTGAACATTGCCTCTTTTGAGGATATATACCACCCAGAACTCAAGAACTTGGGCTGTGTGTCGCTCTGTTCCAAGAGAACTTCCTTGGGATTATCTGGGCCACCTTTTTAATTTCTCAGACACCTCTGTCACTTCCTTTCATCTCTGGGCCCAGGAGAAGAGAGTTTGATTGGACCTGTCAACATCTGTAAGGAGGCCACTTGAGAGTCATTTGAAGAATTCCCACACCCAAGAGCATCTCAGAGCAGCTGGGAAGACCCAGGCAACCTTCAACCTTAGGCCCATGTCTTGCCTTGGAATGCTAGCTTTTGAATGGTCTGTGTGGGATTGTCAAAGTGACTCCCCAGGTGTGTGTTAGTGGCTTTGCAAGTCATCACAGTAGCAGAGAACACCACACGAACAAATCAGACAGTTCGTTCTTTGCTATGTAAAATATTATCAACCTTAATTATAATACTCATACTTTAGAATATGAATAGAATATGAATGGAGTATGAATACAATAAAATGAAGTATCAAACTCCTATTATGCTCCAGGCACTCGGCTGGGTTTATATCTAACCGTCACCACACTGTGCAAGCCAGGACTTATGGTTTCTATTTATAGATGAAGAAACTGAGGTTCACAAAGTTCAAACCACTTTCCAAAGGTCACTTGATGGATGAAAAAGCCTGGATTAGAATGTAGATATGTATTTTATTTTGAATCCTTTTCTTTTTAAAGAATGACTCTGACTGCTTCTCAAAAAACGTAAAGATAGTTTGATGAGGAAGAAATATGGGCAGTTGCTAATATTAAGAGCCAAGATAGGGGGAAAAAGCCAATTTCCCTGGGCTGATGTTTGAGTTAAAAGGTTCTTGCTAGTATGAGCCACAGTTAAACTGGCACCAATTAGAGTCAAGTGTAATGAAAAATAAATACAGCTGAGCTGTTAGGCGAGCTGCTATGGCCCAGCATCTGTCAGCACTTCTATTATACATTGAGTTTTTTCAAGGAATTATAAGGGCTGTAAAAATGTGTGCTATGGTGGAACTTGGCAGGGAAAAAGTTTCCATTTAAAGAGCTTTTCAAATATATTTTCTAAAGTTTCAAAAAATTAGGTTTGAAACTTTAGTCATGAAGTTAGCAACCATTTACATAGTCCAACACCTTTTAACCGACTGCCGAAGTGACAAGGCACTTCAGCACCAGGACAAATTCCTTCAGCCCCGTTCATGGGCTTCTGCCGTGACCTTTGCTTCCCCACAGTGTTCTTGTTGGTCTCTACTGCAGCCTTAATAGCAATATCAGGTGTCATGTTCCAGGGGAGTAAAGAGTTGGGGAGTGAGAGCCCGGAAGGATCGTGGTTGCCCATGCCAGGGTGACATGACCCCTGTGTGCCGAGATGCTCCTCTGAAAGCCCTTCCAGGCCAGTGCACAGCTCTATTGGCCTCCTTCCAGGCCAGAGGCTGACACTCAACCTAAAGAGGGACTGGGAAAGGGACTGGAGCTGGGGAGGTGTTGGCCAGGGAGGCTTCAGAGGATGTGGGCTACAGAGTCTGGTAACAGAAGGTCTCGATCTGCTTTTAATTAATTAATTAATTAACTCATTATTTGTCTGAGCAGAACTCAAGACTTGGAGACAGAAAACCATGGTGTGACCTACAGCTCTGCTACTATCATATCTTTTGACAATGTGCTCACTGCCTAATCACTTTGGGCTTTTGTTAACTTAATTCTGAAGGAAAATGACCACCTTTATACAAGTTGCAGAATGGTAGGGTATGAGAATAACGAGTGTTGAAGTACTCTGTGAGCTTTAAAGAGGTACACAAATAGAATAAAGGAGAATCATAAGGAAACATGTGTTGACCTTTTCCTAAGGATCCTTTCCTAGTGGCCAGGCAAGGTGAAGGAGAGAAACATGAATAAGACATGCTGTTGACATACAAAAACCCAGAACAGACAAGAGTCAAGCTGGACTAAAGGGCATTTTGACAAATGCCCACATCCAAGAGAAGGAGTAAATCCAGGACTCAGTGGGCCATAAACAAGCCACTCGCTCCAACATTTTACCAGGAAAGTCCCAGGAAAAGAGCTAATATTAAATTCCATCCTGGGATTCTTACTTATCCAGAATTCTATCATTGCACATCAATATCGCCATACCTGGTCTTGGTGTTTCTTGTCATCATTTCACAATGAATACTGGAGTCAACAGGCAAATAACGTTTCTGCATAAGTCAGTTGGGGCCAGGGTACCTAACCATGGAAGTAGTAACTCTCAAACTTGACCTGGTGAAGGAATCCCTGGTGGTGTTTATTAAAATGTAGAGACCCGGACCCTCCCAACAAAGATTCTGACTTTGTAGGCAGCAGCCCCCAGATCTGGATTTCTAGAAACTCTCTAGCTGGAGGTAGGACATATGGCCACACACTGAGAAACACTGAATTTAGACTTCTCTGAGATGGCCGCGTGAGTCTAAATTGTCAGAGCTGGCAATCTCTATACAGCTTCCCCATTTTATTGCTGAGAAAACTCTGCAGAGGGAGGAGGTTGGTATTCACAGAGCATATGAGATGTGTCGAATGCTGTGCTGGCATTCAACTTAGGCCTTCTCATTTCATCTTCACCATGCATCTGGTTCCTTCCACTAAAGGCACTTAGATGTATTCCGCCTTGAGATCGGCACATTAACCTGCCTCTCGGCTCCAACATCTGGGCAGCTGAAGGAATAAAACAATGTATCTACAGCCAGTACACATTTGTGTGCTCTGTGATCAGTGGGACTTTTCATTTTGGGGACTGCTTCCACTCTCTTTCACCCCTTAAGAAGCACATCATTTGCTTCTCTCTTCAAGCTCTTTATCTTCCTCCAGCTCTTCACTCTCAAACAAAATTCCTATTCTTTCTTCATTAAAAACATTGTGTCCTACCATGGTGGCAACACCCATAATCTCAGCACTTTGAGAGGCTGAGGCAGGAGTGGCACTTGAGGCCAGGAGTTTCAGACCAGCCTGAGCAATGTAACAAGACTCTATCTCTACAAAAAATTAAAAACCCAGCCAGGCATGGTGGCGTTCGCCTGTTGTTCCAGCTACTCAGGAGGCTGAGTCAGAGAATCACTTGAGCCCAGGAGATTGAAGCTGCAGTGAGTTATGACCACACCACTGTGCTACAGCCTGGGTAGCAGAGTGAGACTCTAAAAAAAAAAGAGGCCCGGTGTGGTGACTCATGCCTGTAATCCCAGCACTTTGGGAGACCAAGGTGGGTGGATCACTTGAGGTCAGGAGTTTGAGACCGTCCTGGCCAAAATGGCGAAATCCCGTCTCTACTAAACATACAAAAAATTAGCGAGACGTGGTGGGCGCCTGTAATCCCAGCTGCTCGGGAGGCTGAGGCAGGAGAATCGCTTGAACCCAGGAGGCGGAGCTTGCAGTGAGCCGAAATTGTGCCACTGCACTCCGGCCTGGGCAACAAGAGCAAAACTCCATCTAAAAAAAAAGAAAGAAAATTCCAACATCTCGCTGGACTTCGCATCTATCAGTCATGAGTTAACTTAATACATTCACCCCTCTTCAATTCCTTTTCTCTAGTCTCTGGGAATGAGGACCCTTTCCTCCTGCTTGAGGACATCTCTTCTCACGTCCTTGACCTGAGTTTCCTCACCATATCAGGTGCATTAATTTCTCACCACAACTACTCCTTCCTGTGTCTTAAATCCCCTTTCTGTTGCTTTCTTCTCAGACCAGAAATCTGTTGAAGCCTCTTCTACACTAAAGCACAGTCTCTTCCCACACTTTATTTCCTTCTAGTCATGCTATGATCTCACTTCTTTCCTTGTCACCCAAACTTCTTGAGTGTTATTGTCTCTCTCCACTCTTAACTCCCATTTGCTGCTCGACCCATTTCAATCTGTCTCCCAGTCACACTCCTTTAATAAGATTCGATTTGCTAAGGTTACCTTACTGCTGCCCAAATTCAGTGGATATTTTTCAGTCCTTCTTCAGTAAGATAGGGATATTAATGCTTAGCTCTTAGTGCCTATTAGGTTGTTTTAAGAATCAGTGCTAAATGTATGGAACTGCTGGGTACACAGACCTATCACAGAATAACAGTTCAGCAAATGATTCCCTTTTCCTTCCTCCTCCTCTTCCTCCTCATTATTGTAATTGTTGCTATCATTATTTCAGGGACTTCAGGTGAATTTGACACCACTGACCATTCCCATCTTTTAGATTTCATGACATCTATCATCTTAGTGCTCTCATCCTCTGACGATTCCCCCAATCTCTATAGGCCTGCCTTCTTTCTCCCAAGATCGGTATTCCCTGGGAGTCTCTCTCTGGTCCTTCCTTCATCTTACTCTTCCTGCTGTCCCTGGTTGAGCTCCTGCTTGCAGTTGCTAGTTACAAGCCAATAAATTCTGTTTCCCCCGCACTTAGACATGCCCCTGAGCCATGTGTCCAGCCTGCTGGACATTTCTTCCTATTCTGCAAGACCTGGCACATAAGAGTTGCTCAAGAACAGTCTGGCCTCTTTAGGGCCCCAGCCAATTTCTATACAATATAGTGAAGCTTGGGCACAGCAGCCTTGACTCTACCCAGAACAGCCTAGTGTGTGTGTATGTGTGTGTGTGTGTGCATATGTGTGTGTGCGTATGTGTACGTTTGTGCATGTGTTTGTGGCAGCTCTAGGCTCCACTGTTCTCCATTAGAGATGGAGCACATTTGATAATATGGAGCTATGGTCACAACTGCCAGGTGGCATGTAGCTACTACCTAGAGAGAAGGATGAAGGAGAGGTTCGCTGAAGAGCTGGAGCCAGTGGCAGGCAGAAGTAATTAAGGCAGCTTTCACAATGCTATGGAAGGCCTTGGGCTGTATCTGGCAGAAATCATGGCAGAGACAAAATGGAATCCTAAAGTTTCAGAGATTAAAGTGAAAGTTTGTTTCCAAGTTCAAATACTAATTTCTTATATGTTTAGCTTTTAACTTTCCATAAGTGTGGGCAGAATTGTTGGCATATGAAAATGCCACATCCCTGAACCTGACATAGGACAAAAGGAGAAGTGTTTGGTTTTGGATTTAGACAAAGCTTGGCTCCTCTGATAACTGTATGACTTTCGTCAACCTATTTCACTTTTCTGAGCCTCAGTCATCTGTATCAGGAGGGTGACAACATCCTGGTTCTCTCATTCACTCAACATTTATTGAGAGCTTTGTTAGTCCCTGGCAAGAAGCTGGGTGCTGAACTGCTGAGATAACTCAGATATGTCCTTGCCCTCGAGGACTGTAGAGAATAGAAGAGGAAACGGGCACACATGCAAGGAACAGGTGTCAGCTTAGTCTGAGGAGTGTGGAAAAGCAAGAAATAAAAAACCATGCCCAGGTTTCTGGCTTTAGAAATCAGGAAGAGGATGGGATCGACTCAACCATGGAGAGGAGGAACCCAGGAGAAGGGCCAGGTTTAGGGTGGGAAGAAGATAAAGTTCAGTTTTGACCATACAAGGTGTGAGATGCTTGCAGGGTGTCCACGTAGAGACGCTCGCCAGGAGAGAAATGCATCTGTCTGGACGTCAGGAGAATCTCTGGAGTTGGAAACACCTATTTGGAGTCCTCAGCACAAACCCATTCTGTGAGCTCCAGAGCAGATGAAAATGCTCTGAAAGTGTATACTAAAAAGACAGCCACCTTGACAAGGGCAAGGAAGGAGAAGGCTGAGAAGGGCTCCTTGCATAGGTAGGAGGAAGAACTGAAGAGCATGGGAATATAGAAACCCGGAGCAGGAAGAGGGTCAGTAGTTTTGAACACTGCAGAATTCAAGGAAGAAGAAGACGACAGAAACACCTCCGATGGCTTAGCAACAGAGAGGTTCTTGAAAGCAATTTCAAGGAAATAATAAGGCTAGAAGGTCTGGCTTAGACAGGAGAACTCCTGACTCTTCTAGTAAAACTTGAGGAAGACTGGAAAGAACAGGATGTAGGTAAGTTTGTGGAGGATTCGGCAAGATGTTGTTGGATTTTCTTTCTAGGAATCTTTCCTTCCTTCCTTCCTTCTTTCCTTCCTTCCTTCCTCCCTTCCTTCCTTCCTTTCTTCCTTCCCTCCTTCCTTCCTTCCTTTCTTCCTTCCTTCCTTCTTTCCATAGGTTTTTGGGGGAACAGGCAATATTTGGTTACATGAGTAAGTTCTTTAGTGGTGATTTGTGAGATATTGGTGTACCCATCACCCCAGCTGTATACACTGAACCCAATTTGTAGCCTTTTATCCCTCATCCTCCTCCCACCTTTTCCTCCTGAGTCACCAAAGTCCACTGTATCATTCTTATGCCTTTGCATCCTCACAGTTTAGCTCCTACTTATGAGTGAGAACATACGATGTTTGATTTTCCATTGCTGAGTTACTTCACTTAGAATAATCGTCTCCAGTCCCATCCAGGTTTCTGTGAATGCCATCAATTCATTCCTTTTTATGGCTGAGTAGTATTCCACTGTATATGTATACTACGGTTTCTTTATCCACTTGTTGATTGATGGGCATTTGGGCTGGTTCCACATTTTTGCAATTTGTGAATTGTGCTGCTATAAACATGCATATGCAAGTATCTTTTTTGTATAATGACTTATTTTCCTCTGGGTGGATACCCAGTAGCGGGATTGCTGGATCAAATGGTCGTTCTACTTTCAGTTCTTTAAGGAATCTCCACACTGTTTTCCATAGTGGTTGTACTACTTTACATTCCCGTCTTTCTTGTGGTTTCTAATTTGTGTGTGACACCATGACTGACACTTGCTCTTAGTCAGGGCCAGCTCGTGAGGTGGGAGGTCTGAGAGAGAGAGGGTCATTTGATATGGACTGAGGAGGATGGGCATGGGCCAGGCGTGGGAGGCATGGAAAAGTTTCAGGCAACATCACAGACCCAGATGGGGAGAGACTATCAGTTTGTACCAATGGCAACCTGTGTCCCTGTGATTTTCTGCAGGAATGCACCACACTCTCGATGTGCGTACAGAGAAGATGGCTGGCTGGCTGGATCCAGGGTTTTAATGTTTCCAGGTAAGTTTAAAGAAAAGAACAACTGACCTCCTGACAAGCTGATGGACAAGGGGAAAGCAGAGGGACTAAGAGATAAGCGGTCTCTCTGAAGTCAAATTAGCGGAACGCTGAGGTAGCAGGATGAACTGAGAAAAAGCTGGATGGGTTTGAGAGCTGTGATCAGAGACAGACAGATCTGCACTCAGGGTTTCAGGGCTGGGAAAGCTCCAGGGAATGCAAGTTCCAAGGTGAAGTCATGGGAATGGGTGGCTGAAATGGGATGGAAGGAAAGGTGACAGGAACTAGGTTGATGCCACTCAGGGAAAGGGTGGTGAGAAATCCCGAGATCTGGGAGTCAAGCTCCTTAGCCGGAGGACACTGTTCAGAAAGCTGTGCAGCTGGCTCGGGAAAGCGGACATCTATCCCTCCAGTGTGGGGAAGCAGGGGAGTGTACATGTGCATGCCAGGGATTCGGCCTCTGGGCTTTGGTAATTTGGCAATATGCCACTCCCATCAAGCCTCTGCAGTGCTCTGTTGAGCCAGATTCTTCCCAGAGTCCCTGATTCCTGATGCTGAGCCTACCCCATCACCTGCTCTCCAGAGCCAGCCCTTGAAGGCAGCAATTCATCCTCCAGTGGAGCCCTCAGCAGTGACTGGGGAGCCCTAGCCCCTGGGTCAGCCAGGACAGAGCAGCTGCCATCGTTGGCTGAAGGCTACTTCTTGGCATTCGACGGCAGGTTTTGTTTAGACACAGGAGGCACATTGAGAAATGCTTCCAGACTTGTGCCTGGGGACATGGGGGAAGCAGAAGAGCACATGGAGCATTTTAAAGCCTTCAAAAGGAGTTTTGGTGCCTGGCCCCGCCCTAAACGTTTGCACCCAGATATGGTGTTTCCGCGTGCGGGTCTCATACCTGTGCCTGACAAGTGGGAGGCCGCTGACAAGCAGCCTCAGTGGCTCACAAATGGAGTTTGGTTTAAAGTTCAAGTCATAACTGGATGGTGCCTATTTGTCCCTGACCAAACTCAGCACAAAAAAAGGTTGCACTTTTTTTTTTCCTAAAAGGCAGCAAATGTGGACAAATATTAGCTCTTGGAAATAAAGGGGGAAGTTATTCATTCACTCAGCAGCATTTTCCAAGCCATCAATCTTCTGAGGATTTCTATTGCTTTAATCATCAAGGTTGTTTATTTGGAGCAATTTCTGAGAGAATAAAAGTACCTTTGGCCTTTATCTGCTGTCATCAAAGCATCCATTAGGGGACTGGAGCCCTGTAGGGAGGCTCAAGGGATTATTCCGAGAGGTTTTCTGAAACGCACAGGAATTCTGCTTTTTCTTCTCCCTGGTGCGGCAGTGAAGTTTAAACTGTAATCTGAAAGGTTGAGTTTATCGTCAGGTTTGTACCATTTGAACAGGATTTTGTTCAAGGCAAACCTACCCATAAAAGTATTTTAAGTGACCTGGAAAAAAGGCCGGCCTGCCTATCTGGAAATTGTGTGGCCTCTGACAGTCTCCGAGCCTTGGGGTTCTGACAATAGCACGATGGAGTCCCTGGCAGCCTGTACAGTAACAGGATGTCATCTTCTTGGGGAGGGTTGGGGGCAGAAGCAGGAAAGAAGCTGAGTGGTCCCTGCCCTGCCAGAAGGTGAAGCATTACGCTGCTTGGTGAACTTGAAGTGGGAGGAGAAAGAATTGAAATTATGTGGAGCCTGTGGGTAAATGCATCTGGGTGTACACACATATGCACAGACACTGCACACAGGTACACACAGCACACATGCATATACACACACACACACTCACACTCACTGCCCCGTGCCTCACAGGCGCCTCTGCCTCAGGTGCCTCCCAGCTCCAGTTCTGCCAGAATGCCACCTCCCTTCCACTGCCTCCCAGGCCCTTTGCACTCCTCTGCCTTCCAGGGCACGTCTTCAGGCCTCCTGGACCAGCCCCTGCCTGTCGGATGTGGACCCCTCAGAGGGACTACAGGACCCCCTGACTGTGAGTGCCCTTGCCCCTCTCTGGGTTCTGGGAAGCAAGGGCTGGGAACACTCTGCTCACTGGAAAACACATGAGCAGCTGCTCCATGGCTCAGCCTGAGTAAGCAAGAACGGCTGGTGTGGCCGCCTCCCCAGGCTTCTCTCTGTGTCCTGCTGTGTCAGCTGTGTCCCCACGCTCCGGAGAAGCCAGCTCAGCAGTCATCATAGCGGAGCATATGCCCCCCGCCCCCCGCCCCCACACAGCATAGAGATACACACACACCATAGAGACACACACACACCTCACACACTATAGAGACACACACACAGCATAGAGATACACACACACCACAGAGACACACACACACACACCATAGAGACACACACTTCACATCACTTAAAGACACACGTGCATTACACACACAGCATAGAGATACACACACAGCACAGAGACACACACACACCACACACACATACCACACACACCACACACACCACACACACATACCACGCACACCCCAGAGACACACGCACCTCACATACGACAGAGACAAACACACCTCATACACCACAGAGGAAAACACACACCACACACCACAGAGACACACACATACCACACACACCTCACACACCAGAGACACACACACCTCACACACCATAGAGACAGACACATACCACACACACCTCACACACCATAGAGATCCTCACACACCTCACACAGCATAGAGACACACACACACCACACACACCTCACACACCATAGAGACACACACACACCACACAAACCTCACACACCATAGATATCCTCACACACCTCACACACCATAGAGACACACACACACACCACACACCTTACACACCACAGAGTCACACACACCTCACACACCATAGACACACACACACACCGCACACACCTCACACACCATAGAGATCCTCACACACCACAGAGATTCTCACACACCATAGAGACACACACACACCACACACACCTCACACACCATAGAGACACACACACCATAGAGACACACACACCACACACGCCTCACACACCATAGAGACACACACACGCCACACACACCACAGACACACACACACCACACACACCTCACACACCATAGAGACACACACACACCACACACACCTCATACACCACAGAGACACACACACCTCACACACTATAGAGACACACACACCTCACACACCATAGAGACACACACACACACCACACACACCTCACACACCATAGAGATCCTCACACACCATAGAGACACACATATACCACACAGGCCACAGAGACACACACCTCACACATGACAGAGACACACATATACACCTTAGAGATACACACATATTCCAGAGACCCCTCTGTAACTATACATATCTCTATATGAATCTAGATAAATACAGATATAGATATACACACCACACACACACACACACACACACACAGGGACATCTACACAGAGACACCATGCCACAAGCACCATAGAGATATGCACACACACACATCATGACACGAATACCCTAGAGCTAGACACACACCATGACACACACACCTCTTAGTGACACATACATAGGAATGTCTGCATACACATAGATCTCAGACATCTGCATATCTCTATCTATTTCTCCATCTCTACACACACTGCAGAGACACACACAAGTACCCCACAGGGACATCTGCACACACACAAACCACACCACACACATATCACAGAACTACATGCACAGAGACACCTGCACATACTACACACACACATACACGCCATGGGAACATCACACACACACGCACGCCACAGGGACATCTACATACATACATACCCTACAGACAGATGTACACACACACACCCCATGGAGATATCTACACACACACACTCATCTGTTACAAAGGGAAGAAACATTCCAACCTTTGTGCGCAAAAACATGGCCACACAGGCAGGCAAACAACCATGAGATGGACACGTCATGTGCACGTACTGCACACACCCAAGTGTGGACGCCCCTCTGAAGCCTCCAAGCTGGCTTATCAGAGGCATCCCTGGACTGGGCCAGACCTGGAAAAGAGAAGGGGCAGTGCAGGAGAAAAGGCAGTCGGTGTTTGCACTGGAGCTTCCCAGACCCTGGAGCCCGCAAAACTCGAGATCAGAGCAGAGGGAAAATCCCTCCTGTGATGGGCGTTGAGACCAAGAGAGTGGGGAAGGGCCAAGCATGGTAGGAAGGGTGGCCTTTACTGCAGGCCCCATCGTTGACTTGCTCTGTGGCCTTGAGCAAGAGTCTCCGTGATCTGGGCCTCAGGTTCCCCATCTGTAAAATGGAGTTAATGCAAAAAGCAAATGACAGGAAACACGTAGAGGTGCGGGAAAAGATCAAAGCTGAGAGATTATTGCTATCTGTGTGGGTATTTTATTTATTTATTTTTTACTGGTAATAAAAAAAATCCCTTCTTGAAGATCTGCAATCATCAGAAAAGGAGGTACTAGATCATGTGCTACCAAGGATTATTAAGGGATGCAGGAGGCGTCTTCCCAACGCTAAGGTCTAGATCAAAATCAACCACATGCTTTTGTTTCTTTTCTTTTCCTTCTCTTTTTTTTTTTTGTGGTTATTTTCATGGCCGCTTCGCAGAGGAGCTGGGTTGCTGGGATGAGCACCAGGGCTCCTGAACACTGAGTCCAAGGCTCTGCCCTTCTCTGTTTTCCACAATGCCACAACTTTTTTAGACAGTGTTTTCAGGATAATCTATTTTTATTTTCCAGATTCTTGGGGGTGTCCCTAAGTAGAGTCAGATGAAGATGGGAGAAAGAGGGAATGCAGCTAGAAGGAGGTTTGGTGGTAGTGCCTGGCCGGCCTGTAGAGGCCAGCAGCCAAGTGACCATGGTGCTGGCAGCCAGCGAGGCACCCGGCCACCCTGCTGAGCCTCCATTCCCCTACTCCCTGGGGCTGCAGTGTGGCCATGAGCTGACCCTTCCCATACTGTGAAAGGTCTATGCCTAGCCTGTGATCCTGGTATTTTTGAAGTAGCTAGTTTAAACTTAAACTAAACTAATTTGTCCAGAAACTCTAGTGGAGCTTTCCAGACCCAAATTCATCACCTTCTATTGTGTGAAGGTTTATCTGAACCCCTTGGTGTCCCAATGCCCCTGCTATACCACTATGCCACGGGGATCCCACTGCCATAGAGCAGATACCAATTGATATGATATAGATTAGTGAGTGTGTTTTCTCCACTAGACTCTGAGCACTTTAATTTCCAACTCTTAGCACAGTACGTGGCTCAGAGTATGTGTATAGTAAAGGTTTGCTGAATCATTGAACTAAGTTGCATTTTCTGGTTCTGTCTCTGGCTGGAAATTCTGTGGGCAAAGGAAGTGCCACAAGAAAGCTAGAGTTGATGCCACATGTCACAGGAGAGATGTACAAGGAAAGCCTTATGAAGTTCCATGGAAGCGAGGTCACATCCACTCCAGGGCATAAAAAAGGCTTCTGAGAGAAGCTGGCCTTGGGATGGATTGTACAGAATACACGGGTATCTTGCTTTCTATCTGCTACCCTGGGAGGCTGGGGCTCCTCTGACTTTGACCTTCAGGCCTAATCATTGCTTTGTGAGACATTATGGAGAGTGGTCTCATACATTTGCTTGGACTCGCTCTGTTTTCTCTTGGCAAACAGGTCTAGCTCAAGGTGGACTCAACGCTTCTTGTGGACAATTGTATCCCTAATTTGAGTGGTTCACTGCCTTTTGGAAACCCACACTTCACTCTGCAGGCAGCACTCTTCCATCTCCTATCACACTGTATTAGTGACCACGTGTTTATGTGTCTGTTTCTCCCTCCAGATAGACACCTGTGAGCTCCTTGTAGCCATCCATCCAGTCATCTTTATCACTTTTCATGTTTGGCATACAGGAGGCAGTTTGTCTCTAGAAAGTACTTCTTGAAGGGTTGAAGGACAGAACCAGATGTGGTGAAGCTATCTGGAGGCTGGTGGCTCAGGGATCCCTGGATGGACGGTGACTAGTTTCAGACTCTAATCCCCCACTTCCCAGTGGTTTTCTGCACAGAGGATGAGGCTTTGAAGTTGAAGTTGGCTGGGGAAGCAAAATTTAGAAAGCTGCATTTTATACCCAGATGTACCTGCCATTAGTGACATAGAAGTTTTGCTTTTCATATTTTGGTGAGAGTTGAAAGCAGATATTTGAAAATAGAGCTCTGTCTCACAATAAAATATGATCACTTGGAAAATGTATTCTGAGTTTTTTGTCATTTAAGTTAAAGAGCATCTTCCTAAACAGAAACATATTCCTAGTGTAAGAATTTTCAGTTATTGCTTTTTATTTTCTTTCTAACTCATTCTTATGCCTTCCTAGAAATATGGGATTACTCATTAAATGACCCCAGTCAGCATTTTTTGAGCACAGTGTCTACATTTGTCTTGAGCTCTTAACAAATCAAGTCTAATTCAGGAAAAATAGTAGCATTTCTGCCTCATTTATGACTGTTTCCTTTGTCTGAAAAATGACCACAGGGACTAGATGTTCACAGGCGCAGGGAGTAGTGGCCAGTCTTTTGCTCAATCTGTTTATAATGGGGTGATGTGGTGGGTGGTGCAGCGTAGAAGGAAGAACAAGTTCTCTGGTGTTCAACAGAGCTTGGTTCAACTCTTGGTTGCATATTGGAGTAGAAGTGTGGTTCTCTGAACTTCTCTGAAGCTATTTCATAACCTTTAAACTGGAATTTCTCATATATAAATGGTTATGATGCTGGCGAGGTTTAAAGATATGATGTTTATAATGTACCTAGCATTGTATGGCATATAGTAAATATTGCATAGTAGCTTCTCTTATCATTATCATCATTTTATTAACAATAATAATAATTATTGAGTGAACAGTAAATATTATAAGTTCATAATATTTGGTTCCTACAACTTACAAAAAATCAGTATAAAGAGGCAGGAGCTATTTCACTCATTTCATCTCAATTATAGTCACCATGGAGTTTCATTGATTCTTAAAAGAATTTTAAAATCACATTACAATAGTCAATTCTATCATTCTTTAAATAAATATACAGATTAGATCAAGAGTTCAAAGTTTAGACCAGATGTAATTTTTTAGATTCTAATTAAACATGAGGTCTGTATTTATGTATGGAGATGTGGGTGTTTATATGTGCAGCACATAATATATACATATATTTTTGAATATATATAAGAGAACAATTTATGGCCTCATAAGCATACTAGAAACTATACATTTGGGGCTGGGTGCGGTGGCTCATGCCTGTAATCCCAGCACTTTGAGAGGCCAAGGCGGGTGGATCACGAGTCAAGAGTTCGAGATCAGCCTGGCCAACATGGTGAAACCCAGTCTCTAATAAGAATACAAAAATTGACTGGGTGTGGTGGCACATACCTGTAATCCCAGCTACTTGGGAGGCTGAGGCAGGAGAATCACTTGAACCCGGGAGGCTGAGGTTGCAGTGAGCCAACATCACGCCACCGCACTCCAGCCTGGGCAACAGTGCGAGACTCCTTCTCGGAAAAAAAAAAAAAAAAGAAGAAGAAGAAACTATACATATTAAAATATACCTATGCAGTGGTTCAAGATGTACTCATTTACTTTGTAAGCCAATTTACTATCTGATGCCAATCAGACTTAATATAATATAAAATATTCTATAGAGACATTAATAAATTTGCACACAATAAACATATATATGTGATTATAAACATATTAATATGTGTTTTTTCAAATGTGAAATTATTTTCAGATGCCCATGTCTTAGGAGAACCCACTGTGGGAAATATAAACACTTGTGCCTGACATGCAGCCCCAAACACGAGCTTGACTGAAGGCTCTAGAGGGCCGGACACCTCAACTGTGTCACACTTAATTGATCCCAAGCAGCCCATGGTTTGTCAGAACAAGATTAAGGCCTATAACCCTGAGGGGGAGGATGACTTGAGCCCATTGGACAACTCTGTCCAAGAAGCTGTCACCCTGCTTAGCGTGGCTGGGAAGTGGCTTCATTTATCAACCTAAAATCTCTTTCTGTAATTCTTGGCCATTTCCTTTTTTTCTCTTCTCGGGGAGACTGGAAGAGTAGGTTGTGACCTTTCTTATACTTAGGCTCTGCCCAGAAGGAGCCATAAAGATAACCACCAGCTCTTCAAAGGCGTCAGATCCCTGGCAACCGCACAGGGGATTTTCCCAGCACTTGAGCAAAGGGGCCTGGGGATACTGGTGGTTTACTCCACTGGGGCCACTGCCAGGGCTGCATGTGGTGAGCCACGGCCGGTGCACTGCTTCTGGGGACAACACTGCCCTTCAGCATGACACTCTACTGGGGGCCACACAAGGGGCCACAGGGAGGACACAAGTTGACAGTGTTTCTTTTGGGGAAGCAGCTCACACTAAAGAAACCTGTTTCAGGTGGCTTTGGAAAGTTTTCCAAAGTTCACTTTTGATTTGCAGTGACAGGGGGTGGCGTGCAGGGCGGAATCTAAATATCTCTGAGAACACACTTTGAAGAAATTTCAGCTTGTAGGTACTTAAAATAACATACTACAGAGTTTATATAGATATATAAATATACTTATTATATATGTTTATATATGTGTTTATATATAACAGTTTGTATATAAACTATTATATATATGTTTATACATATATGTGTGTGTATATTTATGTATGTGTGTGTGTTTACCTACGTTACACATATATAATATATACACACATACACATACATATATATGAGTGTGTACATACGTAACCTACATAAAATACAGAGTTTATGCCTTGACTACCTTTTTGTATTTGTGACCTAATTGAATCCTTGCAAAAACCCTGATACAGATATCAAATCCATTTTACAGATGTGGGAACTGAGGATGAGAGCTTAACTAGTTTTTCAAGTGAAAAGCTGGGCTTCAAACCTGAGCCTTCTAATCTCCGTGTTCTGATCCCCATGGTAGCCAGTGAAAATATAACTTTAGTTATGGAGAGATTGAGTTTGAAATTATGGACCACAGCCACATTGCTGCTAATGCTGTTTTGAGTTAGTTGCTTTTCATTGACGATACATCAAAATATGAAAATGCAAATTAGCCAGGTGCCGTGACGGGTGCCTGTAGTCCCAGCTACTCGGGAGGCTGAGGCAGGAGAATGGTGTGAACCCGGGAGGCGGAGCTTGCGGTGAGTGGAGATTGTGCCACTGCACTCCAGCCTGGGCGACAGAGCGAGACTCCGTCTCAAAAAAAAAAAAAGAAAATGCAGGTGCTTTGTGTGGACAGAGGAAGACTTTGAGAAGGGTATCACTGTCTCTAAAAGCTGCCTAAACTTGCTTGCTGATAAGTAGAGCTTTTTATACTCCAGTAGTTATTACAATCATAATAATATAATTATTTATTGAAAAAATATTTATTGTGTACCTGCTATGTGCAGGCACAGGGAACAGAGAGTGAAGTAATTTGCAAATGTCCATGTCTTCATGTAGCTTAAATGAAGTGATAAGTGATTAATTGTCAATGATCCTGTTTCCCTGAGAAGGATGTTTTGTTGCAGGTAGAGAGAACGTGGCTTGGTTCACTGGGACGTGGACCAGGGACACGTGTTTCCTCTCCCATCCAGGTGAAGAGCAGTGTAGCTGGTCTCAGGGATGTCTGGAGTGAGCCATCCAGACACTGCAGGCTAGACCGTGCTTTCTTCTCCTCTTCTTGGCCTCTCTTGGTGAACGTGATCCAGCTGCTCAAATTGTCCTTCTTCATTTTGCTTACTGCTCCCCCTAGGCCCAACAGATCTCAATGTCATTGTCAGACAGGGACTGCATCTGTCTCTCTCTGGTCCCAGTTTAAATAAGTTGGGGAAGGGCACTGATGGACCCAGATGGGCTGTGTGTTCTTTTCTGGGTCTGCCACAGATGTGCAGCAAGGCTGAATCTGTGAGAAGCCAGAACTGTCCTGGGAGTATCTGCACCATGCAGTCAGAAGGAGACAGTGGCGTTTCCCTGACGGAGGGGGGCATGATGGGTAAACCACATGCATCTACTACACAAGGTCATTCCTTTAATACTTTATCACATGCAATGGGCTTTTATAGATGTCACTCTACAACAACTAACTCCACCAGCTCTGCAGGACAGAAATTATGATCCTCACTTGACAGTTGGGGAAACTGATGTCACAGAGGTAACACTGGCCAGAAGCCACACAGCTAGTCAATAGCAGAGGCAGGATTTAGATGCTGATTTTCCAGATTCAAATTCATATTTTGGAAGAGACTGAAAGGGCTTCTGAATTTCCAGAGACAGAGTCAATCTATCTTTGTGTAATCTTTGTGCTCCATGTTTTCTTGCACATGGATGCCTTGAACTCTGGTAATTCCAGTATGGCTCTTTGTTAAAAACTTGTTGTATCAATGAGAAACATGGCTCCCTGGTCAAGCTAGAAAGTTGGTATTTTGTAAGTGTAAGGTAATTTTAGGTGGTATGGGGTAAAAGCATTAACTGGATTTTTCTAAGCTATCCACTTTATCACTGTGGGAAATTCTTCACCATCCATCATGGCAGCACATCAAAGCTTTTTGTTTGTTTTCTTACTGACTCTCTTTCTAAAGCAAGGGTAGAATTAGGATTCCAGTAACATTTATTTCCTCATCCATCTGCTCATCTATCCACTCATCCATCCAGGCCTTCCTCCACTGACACGTCCATCCATTATGCCATCTACTCATTCAAAGTCTATTTACCACGTGCTTTATGCCAGGCACCGAGCTAACAATTGAATGAAACAGAGACAATAGAACACAAACTCTTTCTTCACTGGGCCCTCCGTCAAGGTTGGGAGGCATGCACTTATTAACAAATAACTCTAATGCCAAACGCAGCTCCACTGAGGACATCTAGAATTCTTAGAGTCATTAAATAAATATTCAATGCATAGGAGGTGGCAGAGTGTTTCCAGACCAAGACCTGTCACCTGATTATGATTTGATGTGGCATTAATACATTTAAAGAAATGGTACCAATAGGAAGATCATGGACATAGAAAATCAGGATTAAGATAAACAAATGTCAGAATCCATCTCACAGTGTCCAAGTGATGGGCACCTAACCCCTCAGCCATTAGGTTATTGTGGAGGTTGCCCTTTTGAGGACTAGCATGTCTGACTTCCTGAGTCCACGTGTAATGTCCTCCCCCAATCCTTCTACTTCTCTTCTTTCAAATATAGGATCATCAAACAACATGTGTGGAAATAATTTTAATTCTAAGGTACCAGGATGTCAGGATGAGGCAGAGTATATAGTATCTTCAACAGGGTGTTCAAGTAATTTAGTGTCCACACATAGGTATCCTCACTTATCGATGACTGGATTTGCATTCTGATTATTTATAACTTGTTGCACTTTTAGTTAATTTGATCCTGCCACTGAGATTCTTCTGGGAATCTCAACAGATCAGGGTCAAAACTCTGAAGCAGACAATCTTCCATCATGGTATTGTTCTTACAGAGCCCTGCCTGGAACCAGTTGGCTTATCTAGAAAGCATCTGAGTCTCATTCTCATCTTCATCTCCTCCCCATCCACCTTCTCTTTCCACCCCATAACAATATGGGGGATGCGAGGATGAATGGAACATCCGAACAAGTGAAGAAGGAGGCACAATCTCTCAATCAGAGGAACTACAAATGGGAAGTAGAATTTGAGCTGAGCCTTAAAAAGGCGAGAATGATTTGGATAGGTAGGGAATGTAGGCAACTGCCTTCCAGCCTGGGAGAAGCACATGAACAACTACATAGAGGTCATGGGCAAAGAGTATTCAAAGAAAGGTACATGGGGATGTGGTAGAAGCTCAGAAAGTTAGCCCATGAGGATGGAGATGTTGACTGGCTTGATATTGTAGAGATATGCAATGCCTTATAAGGAACTTGGCTTTTCTCCTAGGAAAATAAAGGTGTTAAGCTGAGAGAATGGTGTGATCAGATTTATGTTTTTGCATTTTTTCCCCAGAAGCAGTTGGAGGGATGGACCGGGGATTGAGGTAGACAGTACAGTTAGGGGACAGCTGTATCGGTTCAGGATAATCTGTTTCCCATCTCTGAGGCAGAATTACAGTTTCTAGGACTCTGTGATGCCTTTTACACATGAGGTCAGAATTTCTTCTGAATCGTTAAGAGTGTCTGCACTCATAAACTACTTTGTGTGTTTTAATTTATTTCCAATCAAACTGAAAATGCCAGTAAGCTGTTTCACATGTATCACCAAACTTATGAGAAATTAAACTCAGCTCACAATATTTACTGAGCACTGATTGTGCACACAGCATGCTGTGAGACTCTACCTGGAAGACAAAGAAAAGGCATAAGATGTGGATTTGTTCCCCTTTGGCTTATTTCCCATCTCATGGGTGGGCAAAATCTATGGCTGATCCTAGTCCCAGGAGACTCATCTTTCCTGCTGGGCTCTGGGTTGAGTTGACAGGGGTCTTGGCTGTCAGGCATCTTGCGGCTGGGTTCTGGAGTGGAGAAAAGTAGAGAAAAGGAACTTCTGGGACAGAGACCTTGGGGATGAGATGCTTTCTAGCCCTGGGATTCATTCTTGAGCAAGACCTTTAGTGGAACTAGCATTGAAGTTCTGACATCCTACTTGGAGTTGTGCCTCAGTAGAACAGTTTCAGAACTGTTGGGGCACAGGCACCCATATAATTATGCCTGATTATCGGATCACAGGCCGACAGAGATGATGCTGCCATGAGTGTCAGGTTGTACTCCTCTCCTGGAGGTAGAAGGGCTCCCCATGGAGCACAGCTAGCTGCCCAGGCACAGCCAGAGCAGGTGGGACCTCTCACTGACTCATCCTATAGTAGCAATAGGTGAACAAGTTTCACTTGATTTTACAATCCCCCTGGGTTTTTTCCCTTTCCTGTAACCTGAGAAATCAGCAGTTCTAGGTGTTATCTGCGGCCTTACAGTTTGAGGCAGCTCTCAGACAGTGGCGAGCTTTGCATCTTATGTGGCTGTGAGATGTTCTGAGAAGAGAAACTGAGGCCAGGAGATGGGAGGCCTGGGTGAACTGTGGGCTCCACCTGGGGAGATCCTGGGAACAATGACAAGTGTGCAGCCTTTCTCTGTTATAAGACATTGTTCATTTAACCTCACAGTTTTTTAGGTGAGGGAACAGAAACTCAGTTAGGATGTTGTGCCTGCTCTGGAAACAGTGGCAGAGCTGGGACCAAAACCAAGTCTTCTATGTGCAATTCCTATGTCCCTTTGTGCCAAAATAGAGAAGTCCCTTGAGCCTAAAAACCCAACAGTATTAGAATTTGTAAACTAAAGACAATAACATAGTAGATGCTTGTTATTAATCTGCTAATAACAAAATACCACGGGTTAGATACTTTAAGCACAGCAATTTATTTTCCACAATTCTGGAGACCAGAATTGGTTTCTTCTGAGGCTTATCTCCTTGGCTTGTAGATGGTTGTCTTCTTGCTGTGCCGTCACGTGGTCTTCCCTCTGTGTGTGTCTGTGTTCTAATCTCCTTTTCTTATAAGGATATCAGTCATAATGTGTTAGGGCCCACCTATATGACCTTCTTTTAACTTAATTGCCTCTTTAAAGACCCTATCTTCAAATACAGTCACATTCTGAGGCTCTGGAGTTAGGACATCCACATATGGATTTTAGGGGAGATATAATTCAGCTCATGACAATGCTTAACACATGTTTATAGTATTAAAAATATCTACTCACTACAGTTAAGGGAGTTTTGTGAGGCTTGATGGAGACAACTCATTCATTCTTTCAATCACAAAATGCTTACCGAAGATGTCTTCTTTAGATACTTGAGTGCTTTAGATACAGTACTGCATTGAACATTGCAGCAACATGACAGGCTTGTTGTCATTATTTCCATTTCACAGATGAGGAAGAGGAGCTTTAGGAAAGGATATAAATCTACTCCCAAAGTTGTACACAGAGAACGGTGGAGTTGGGATCGAACTTGCATCTCTGCGGACAACCTCATTGTTAGAAAAAAAGCAAGTGAAAATATTCTGTTTTCAGGATATTCTCTGAAATTCTGTTCCTTTCCCACGTGCCCAGCTTTTGCCTGCACTGAAATTATTAAACTGACAAGGGGGGCAGGTGGGTAGAATGCAGATACTATTGCTTTCAGAGAATCCAGCTCCATTGGGCAATCCTTTCTTACTGTCTCAGCCGGGAGAAAGAGCCCCTAGCCAGAGGGAATCAAATACTTTTCAAATGTCTCATTAAAATAAAAAGGTGATTCTTGCATTGGTCCTGTGATAAAGACTACAAAGCAGCACCATGAAAACTCCCTGGTTTACCCTTCTGAATAGGCCTCAGCTCCAGCAGCAGAATGAATTAGCGGCCACCCCATTATCTGTAACCCTTAGAGAGCGCAACCCAGGCTTTGATCTGCCAGTGTCAAGGAAACTGATAAAAACTCGTTCTGTTTCTAAGCTTTCCAGGCCTGAAATTCTCTTTTCCCTTCAGCACGCTATAAATGACCCTCTGAAGTGGCTAGGCATTCTTTCACAGTCTTGTTTCCAATCTATTCATAACCACGGTTATCAATTATTATACCAGCTGGAATTTCTGAGGGCCAGGAGGCTGTCAGGAGCTCTAATTGTGGTTCAGGGATAAAAGCAAAAACACACAAATTTTAACCAATCATAATTAACTTATTCTCCAAGTGCAAGGAAAAAAGAACCCCCCCCCCAAAACAAAACAACACAAAACCAAGGCCTATGAATCCCCTCCACTAATCACTCTTGAAAGCAGCCAGGAAGGGGGAGAGGGACTCTTTTATTACCATGGTCGCTCCTGATTGGCTCCCAGAGGAGGAGTGGGGCCAACTGGCAACCAGAGAAGTTCTTAAATCATCAGGGCTTTTTTTTTAATCTTAAAAAACCCTCATTTTTCAAAGTAGCATGATGTTTTCCAAGCTCCTGACAGAGCTTTGAATAAAGAGGCATCAATTTCTCATTGAACCCAAACAACTGACTGAGTGGCCCAAAATATTTCACTAAAAAGAAGTGCAGTGGCAGCTATCACATTAATAAAGGAGGCGCGTGTGACCTGGAAGGAGGCCCCGAGTCATCCGATCCCCAGGCGCAAGGTTAGGCAACAGGTTGAGCTGGGGAAAGCCTTACTTAGCACAGTCCCGGCACTTAGTAGGTGCTCAAGGGGCTAGCTCCTGTCCCCGCCCTGCTCCCTTCTTAGACTGGCCAACAGCCAGATGTCTTGGAGGCATCTGGCTAGTGGCAACGGCATCTGAATGGAAGGCCCATGATGTCATGGAAAAGGCACGGCTTTGGAGTGTGACAGCTCTTCGTTTTTAAGCCTCTCTGAGACTCAGTGTCCTCTCTTACAATGGTGATAGCAGGCCCAATTTGTAGAGTTGCTATGGGGGCAAGGGATAAAGCTCTTAGCAAAGTGCCTGACATAAGGTGGGTGCTAAGTAAATGTTTGCTGTGGCTCCCGATGCTGCTTTGGGGATATGTGGTCACTTCTGGCACAGGGCTTCAAAGACCACCTCCTCTTTCTATATTGCCTTTCAGCATCTGCACAGAATTCTTCTGCAATCCTTGTTAGGAAAGCAGATCAGAGGAAGGGTTAGAGTCGTCTTATAGCAAACATGCTGGGGAAGGACATCAAAAGAAGAGACAAAACAGCATTTTCCAGGACAAAGAAAAGAAGGCATTAATGAAACGATTAAGCAATATCATTCTTTCCATGTAGAGCATCTGGTTACAGAAAACCATATTTTTGCTTTCATCACTGGTATTTAGCACTGCGAAAGCACTGAAGAAGATCTCACCAGTGTGTATTTATATTGTGTTATGAGATCAAGAATCCAAGTGTATTTGTAACATTTGTTGATAGAATTGCAGCCCAAGGAGCTTGAGACTTTGATATATAAAAGATGTGAAGTATTCTCTTGGTAGTTTTTGTTCACAGAAGCAGACATAACCATGTCCTAAAATTTTTTCACAAAGGAGCATTTTCTTGAAATATTTACATACACGGTAGAAGAGAATATTTTCAAAACATGCTCCTCCTTGGGTCTAAGTTGGAGGATAGATCATCAGGATAATTAGTTTTAGCTGTCCCAAGAGTCAACCCCCCCCCCCACCCCCAATTGAAATAGCTTAACACAAGAAGAGTTATTCCTCACTCAGCTCACTCAGGTGACATCAGATGAGGGTGAGCATCCTTACTCCATCTTGTGGCCATGATGTGAGGACTATTCATCCAAGATTTTGACAACCTAGTAAGAGGCATACATTCCTGGGATAGCTTCAGCCACAAGTGATATAAATTACTTCCATTCATTCTGACCAAAACTGTGAATATGACCCTATTCTAATCACAAGGGAAACTGGAAAATGTAGGGGAGCACATGAAATATTTGCTGAGCAGAAATGGTCTCTGCCATAAGAAACATTAGAGATGGTCCCTTGGCTCTGTACCCATGGCATAGGAATGTTCTTAGGAGGGAAGAGAAATGAGATAAGGCTGTTGGAATGCAGGTTCCTGAACAGAGTAGCCCACGGCATAGGGTTGCCTCTGCCCCAGGCAGGAGTTTATAATCTCCAAAGCGCATGGGAATCTGTAGCAGTACCAATGAGTTGATATTTGGGGGCAATGCATGGAATTTTTTGGCACCAGCAATTTTCAGCACGGAGTAAGGATTTCTATGTCAAGCATAGATCAAGAAGATCCATCCGTACTCAGGAAAGGGACTCTGGAAAGGGGCTGTCAGGATGTTGATCAGCGGTGAAGGCCCCTGCTCACCAGCCTAGGGCTCAGGGTTGGAATTCAGCTGTAAGTGGAAACTGATGAGAAATGGCCACCTGCTGGAAGGCTGGGCAGGCAGAGAGACTAGTTCCATACAATGGGAGTAAGATAAGGAGGCTGTGGCCTTAGGGTAATGCAGGTGCCATGGTGATGTTCACCCCAATGAATATCTGCTAAGGGAGTAGAGAATAATTCTGGAGTGCACTGGAGGGATTTAAGGGAGTCCTATAAAGCCAAAAAGGTCAGAGTGGGCTGAGCCTGCAGGGGGGTAGGTATTTTTAATGGTTTCTGGGAGGGGCTGGGCAGACTAGGACAGATAAAATATATGATATGTTCCTATACAGTGATGCCTGAACTGATAATAATTGCTGCTACTTTAAGTGACTTTTGGGTCAGCTTCTCTCTTTCAAAGCTAATCATCTAAAGGAAGAATGAGATCCTACAAAGGACTCAGTAGGGCAAGTCTGGCAGAGAAGAGACTTATGATAGTAATTGTGAGCCTGGTACATGCAGTGCTTTTCATTTTAATCCATGTGCTGATTTGTCCCTCACTGAGTTTATTAGGCAGGCAAGGATTATATTTGTTACTATGATATTAATGAGGAAGCTGTGATCTTTTGGAAAGCCAAAGTGATCAGCTCATAGATGAGCAGCTAACACATCACTGCTGGAATTCAAACCCAAACCTTCTGATTCTAGTTCTGTGATATTCCTTGCCTGTTAGCAGAAGGAAGCAATGACTGTAAGAGCTGCTGTAGTGGCACCTGCCACTTTTCCTCCTTCACTTTCTCCATCATCATTATCAACACCCTCATCACCACCCTCAACATTACTATTATCACCATCATCACAACCACCAAACTCACAACCATCAACTCCAACATCACCTCCATCATTACCATCATCATCACCATAATCACCATCATCATCACCACCATCACCACCATTATCACCATCATCACCATCAATACCATTATCACCGTCAGCACCATCATCACCATCATTATCAACGCCATCATCACCATCATGACCATCATCATCATCATCACCATTATCGTCATCATTGCTATCATCATCATCTTCTTCATCCTAAAGATAATCCCATTGCTCAGCAATGAGTAATACCTATCCTTTCAGTTTGTTCCTGGTGGCATTGAGTTTGCATTAATTCATTCAAAAATCCTCACTCACTTCCTAACCAATAATTTTATTCAACAAAGGGTGATAATTATTTGGTGTAAAAAATAATAATCATCATTTCATTTAGCTTCAAATTTTCTCCTTGTACCTTCTCAAGGGGCAGCACAGAAGACCCAGTTTTATCTGAGAAACCAAGGAAAATGAGTCTAGGAGGGTGAGAATGGTCATTTGGTCATTCAATCTATCAATGAACAGCCACTACTATACCATGTAGTGCTCTGTAGTTACCAAAGACAGCACCTACTATACCATGTGCTGGCTTGGGGCTAGATGGTGGCATAATAGAGATAAATAAATTTCATTCCCTGCTGTTGGGGTCTACAGTCTGGTAAATGCTACGCTTCATTGGATCTCTGTAGAAGTGAATTCTTGATTCTTCCTTTCTAAATTTTATTTTATTTCAACAGTTTTGGGAGAACCGGTGGTTTTGGTTACAAGTATAAGTTCTTTAGTGGTGATTTCTGAGATTTTGGTGCAAATAACATCAGGAAAAATCTCTTCTTGATTTTTTTTTCATCTCCAAAGTTTTTGAGCTCTATCTTCCAACTCAAACATTGGGCCAAATGTTTGAACTTACATGTAGAGAACACATTTGAGAATATTATCCCATGATTGTACCCTAGACCACTAGGGGGTCAGCAAACTATGGCCCAAATCAAGCCACCTGTATTTGTTAATAGGGTTGTGTTGGAAGACAACCACACCCACTCATTTAAATATCAGCTACGACCACTTTGGAGCTACATCAGCAGACTTGAGTAGTTTCAACAGAAAACATATGGCCTGCAAAACCCAAAATAACAAATATCCTGCCCTTGAGGAAAAGTGTCCTGGCCTCTGCCCTAGATTCTGCCTTAGATCCTGTTATTATAAATGAACTATTGTGCCTGTCTAAAGCCATGACCTCTACTTGCACACTAGTTCTTATTCCCCCATCTACTCAAGAACATCATGTTGACTAGTTTCCCTTCATCAGTTTTTCACACTCTACTGGATTATTCCATCAGATTACAAACATGCTGTTATTTCTCACATTTTAGAATACAAAACAAAACCTTCTTCTGCCCCTCTTATTCCACCAGTTACTGCCCACTTCTCAATACTTCTTTGCAGTGCAACATTTCAAAAGAGTTGCCAACTCTTATTCCACTTCTACTACTCTTTTTTGAACTTACTCTGACATTGCAACTGTTTTTGTTAACATCACTGATGACCTTCAGTTTGCCAGATCCAATGGTCAGTTCTTGGTCTTCATCTTACTTGACCTCTCTTCAACAGTTGACACAATCAATCCTCTTGCCCTCTTCTGCCTTTACTCCTTTTCCTCACCTGACTTCCAGAACACAGAATTTCCACGTCTCCCTCCCACCTCTCTTCTGCTCCTTCTCAGCCTTTTGTCTGATTCCTCCACTTCTCCCATAGTCTAACCTTTGGAGAGTTTGAGATGCAGTCCTTGGTCTCTGGTTCTCTCTTCACCCACTTCCTTGATTTTTTCCTTTACTTTTGTCGTAGTCAGTTCAGGCTGCTATAACAAATTAGCCTAGTCTGGGTGGTTTAAACAGCATTTATTCCTCAGGGTTCAAAAGTCTGGAAGCCCAAGATCAGGGTGCCAGCATGGTGAGAGCCTCTCTTTTGTTGTATCCTCTCATGATGTTTCCTTGGTGCAGGCACAGAGAGAGATACAGTAATTCCATTACGAAGGCCTTGCCCTGGTGACTCATCCAAAACTGATGACCTCTGAGAGGTCCAGTCTCCACATACCATCATATTGGAGATTAGAGATTCAACATATGAATTTGATGGGCACACATTCAGTTCACAGCAAGTCACATGGCTTTAAATACCACCTATATGCCGAAGATCCCTAGATTTTTACCTCTGCCCTAGTACTTTGTCTTTTTATAAGGCTTGTATCTCACTGCCTGCTCAACAGATACGCGTGACTGTGGATGAGACATCTTAACATTAACATAAGGAAAATGGAAACTTTAATAACTCCTCCTCATATGCACAGTAGTTGAGGCACTTACACTGTTTAAGCCCCACACCTTAGTCATTCACGTCTCTTCTTTAACATCCCATGTCCAATCCATCAGGAAAGCACACCAGTTATATCATCTTGTCCATTGCTTTGCTACCTATGAGTCTCCAGGCATCTCTCACCTGGATATTACTACAATTGCTTCCTGTTTTCCCTGCTCCTACAGTGGCTTGCCAACTCCCCACCAAGCCCCCACTCACCACATCCTCAGTCTATTCATAACAGAGTGGTCAGCTACTCTTTTAAAAATAGGTCCGACTGTATCCCTCCTCTCCTTAGTTCTCTCCAATGGCTCCCCATTTCACTCATATTAAAAGCCAAAGTCCTTCAACAGGCTGGTAGGACTTTTTAAAATTTTTTTATTTTTTTATTTTATTATTATTATACTTTAAGTTGGTAGGACTCTTATGTCACCTGGTTCAACATGACCTGGCCCTACCATTCTGATCTCCTCTCTGCTTTTCACCCCTCACTCTGCTCCAGCCACACTAACCTTCTTCAATGTATTGAACATGCTAGGCACCCTGATACTGCAGGATTTTGCACTGATTGTCTCCTATGTCTGAAACTCTCTTCCTGCAGATATGCAAGTCTTTGCTTAAATATTGCTGCTCAATGAGGACTATTTACATTTTACTTTATTAAAATTGCCAGCTGACTTCTTCAGCATTTTTTTCCTCCATGAGTTATTTTCCCCATAGTGTTTGTCCCCTTCCATTATGCTAGATTCTTCAGTTAACTGTTATATCTGTTGCTGATAATTCACTTCCCTTTACTAGAATGTAAAATCCCCTGGGAAGGTGATGGTTGTCTCTTCTGTTCACTGATTTATCCCACATGCCATGAACAAAGCCTGGCTCCAGTAAAGGCACTCAACAAATATTTGTCCAATTAATAAATCATTAAGTATGAGCTACTGATCAGTTTAGACAGTGAGTAACATTCTCTACTCTTAAAAAGAAAACACTGGCAGCCAGAGATAGACTTGGGAAACTGTCAGGAAGAGGCAGCCGCAGAACAGCCCAGGATGTTTCGGCTTCCGTGCTGCTGACCACCGGTCAGAGGTTCCCAGGGCACATGGCTAAGTGGAGCTCACTGCAGGAGAGGCCTGCATGTCCCAGATAAGGAGGCATCATGTGCGGTGGCTGTGGCTATGATGAGTGCAAGGACTATTTTTACATAACAGAGGAGAAGATAATCCTACAGACATGATGTCAAGGTCTGAAAAAAGTTGTACCATCTCAGGCAGGCTGGCAAGTGATGCTGTTTAACCCAGAGGCACCTCATTAGCAGACAATGTTTGGAAGCCTTACAAAGGAATGTATAGGTTGTTTCTAGCCAGGAAAGATTTCTTTGTGATCCCATGGTGTTCTATGGCCTATGAGTGGCTTGAGGAGCTCTCCTGGGGTTGGATAAGCACAGATTGGGGGTCAGAAGAGGATTTGAGGCTGTGTCTCTGTAACTTGAAAGTCTTCTACATTGGGCAAGTTTCATAACCTCTAAACACTTCGATATCCTTTTCTGTACAGTGGTGATAAAAGTGTCTACTTTTTAAGACTGAACTTAGGATAGAATAAAACCACAAATGTGAGTGATTTTATCAGTTATAAAGAGAGTATAGGGCAATTCCTATGATTATACACAAAGACAAAGAATGAGTGACTATCTAATGCAAATCTGTGAGATATCACTTAATAAACCCCAAACAATCAACAATGATTTGCTGACTACTTATGTTAAACCCAACATGTGTTCAGCACTTCAAGGGTTAGAGAGTGTGGGGCAGGGCCATTATGCGTGAGGAGTGACCAGCCTTGTTATTCACTCATACAGTCATGGAGCAAGGCAAGACAGCATTTCCACAATTCTGATGTGTAGTTGACTGTGTCTCCTGATCTTATTTAATTCAACTGATATTCTATTGATTTATTACTATGATCCAGGCCTTTAAGATAAGTTATATCAACTGAGGAAATATTTATGGATCTAGTTTGCAGATGAGGAATTGTAGTGTCTGATTGGTAAAGTGGGTATCACAATATTGCACGTGGCAGAACCAAGCTCTGGATTTTTCTGATTTCAAGTCCTGTGATTTCTCCTTGGTCCATCTATGTCACATATGAAAGCCATCTTTCTTTACCCATAGGAGTATGGAAACTTAAAAGAGGACACACTGGCCAGGCACGGTGGCTCAGGCTTGTAATCCTAGCACTTTGGGAGGCTGAGGCGGGTGGATCACCTGAGGTCAAGAGTTTGAGACCAGCCTAGCCAACGTGGTGAAACCTCGTCTCTACTAAAAATACAAAAATTAGCTGGGCGTGTGGTAGGCGCCTGTAATCCCAGCTACTCGGGAGGCTGAGGCAGGAGAATCGCTTGAACCCAGGAGGCGGAGGTTGCAGTGAGCTGAGATCGTGCCATTGCACTCCAGGTTGGGCAACAGAGCAAAAAATCCGTCTCAAAAAAACAAAAACAAAAACAAAAATGACACACCAGTACTGTGAAATCTCACTTCAACACACATTTGTTTCTATGAAGTTAATGTTTGTGTCCCTACGAAATTCCTGTGTCGAAGTCCTAAACCCCAATGTGACGGAATTTGAAGGTGAGGACTTTGGGAGATGATTAGGTCCTAAGGGCGGAGCCCTCATGAGTGGGGTTAGCTCCATCTTATGAAGGACCCCAAGAGATCTCTCCCCCTCTTTTCTTTCCCTCTTTCAAATGTTTTTTGACTGACAGTACAAACAAAAGAATGAAGGGATGAAGATGCTGAATTCAAAGTACTCTAAGCTCTTTCAGCACTTTGATCTTAAATTTATGTGAAGTTTGCACTGTAGCTTAATCATTTGTATAGACTGTTTCTGCTTTTATCTTTCTTATTTTTAGTCATTTACCGAATTTATTTTTCTATTTTAAGAAAAATTTTAATTGACACATAATAATAGTATACATATGTGGGGTACAACAGAATGTTTCGATACATGGATACATTGTGCAATGATAGGATCACAGTAATTAGCATATCTAATCACCTCAAATATTTATCAGTTCTTTGTGGTGAAAACAATCAAATTGCTCTCTTCTAACTTCTTTTTTGAAATATACATACATTAGTGTTACTATAGTGGGCCTGCTGTGCACTGGAACACCGGAATTTATTTCACCCATCGAACTGAAACACTGTACCAGTCGTCTAACCTCTCCCCAACCCCTTCACCATTGTGCCCTCTAGCCCCTAGTAACATCTATTTTACTCTACTTCTATGAGCTCAACTTTTTGAAGTTCCACATAGGACTGAGATCATGTCATGTTTGTTGTATTTCCATGCCTGGCTTGTTTCACTTAACACAGTGCCCTTCAGGTTAGTCCATTCTGTCACACATGGTAGAATTTTATTCTTTTTTATGGCTGAATAGTATTTCATCACGTACATATACCACATTTTTTTTATCCATTTGTGCCATTCAACAAATGTTTGCATATATTTGTGCCCAGGCACTGTCCTAGGAATAGGTAAATGGCATTAAACAACAGAGTCAAAGTCGTTGCCCTCAAGAAGCTATCATCCCAGAATCAGAATGGGAAACAGACCATAAACAAACAAGCAGAGCATGCAATATAAATCCGGGGGCCAGGTGCAGTGGCTCACGCCTGTAATCTTGGCACTTTGGGAGGCCGAGGTGGGTGGATAATTTGAGGTCAGGAGTTGGAGACCAGCTTGACTAACATGGCGAAACCCCATTTCTACTAAATATACAAAAATTAGCCAGGTGTCATGGAGGGCACCTGTAATCCCGGCTGCTTGGGAGGCTGAGGCATGACAATCACTTGAACCCAGGAGGTGGAGGTTGCAGTGAGCTGAGATTGTGCCACTGCACTCCAGCCTGGGTGACAGTGAGACCCTCTCTCAAAATACTACTAGTACTACTACTACTAATAATAATAATAAATAAAAATAAATCCAGGTACTGATAAACTAAAGAAAGATGTCAGAAGGAGATGGAGATTCTTTTTTAGGAAGGGGGGACTTTGAAGGTGAGAACATTTAACTGAAGATCTGATGAAGTAATATTTTATAAAAAATAAACTATTTTATACTGTAAGTTATTATGAGCCAATGCTTGCCCTTCAGTTGCACCCTAGGCCGAAACTATCTTTGCAGCCACCCTGCAATATAGGTTGTCTCATCGTGGCTTGAGGAAGGATGTGGAACTTCTCACAACATCACAAAGCACGTGTTGCACCATTGGACATTTACAATTTTTAAGTGGTTTTGCTTTTTACTGAACTCAAATATGTTTTCCATTTAACACCCACTGGAACTAGTTTTTCTTTCTGTGAACAGAAATTGCCAATTGTTCATCAAAATCTTAATTGTCTTCTTTTTGGACCACAGCTGGGTTCCATTTCTCTATCTCCTCTGCAGTTGGGTGTGGCCATGTGGACATGCACCTGAATTATAGCTGAGGAAATACCGGCAAATTGATGCCCCTATAAGGCCTGGCCCATAAAATCCTCGGGCATGAGTGCCCTCATACTTATTTCTCTGTCAGCTGAATCCAGACGATGATGCAGCCCTAGCAGCAGAACCACAGAAAAACTTGGAAGGAGTTCTGGATCCCAGAATTACCAAGGGAAGGAGGGAAATCTCATGCACTTATTTACTTTCCCAAGACTGTCAACATGAGCTAGAAACAACTTTTGATTTTGTTAAGCCAATACCTGTTAAAGTGTAATTCTATAGCTGTGTTGAGTGTCTTTGAGTTTAATTTTATAGCAGCAAAATTTGTGTTTGAGCTTAATTTTATAGCAGCAAGTCTAATATAACTATGGCACTCTGGAACAGAACAATATATCTGCCAGATATCCATGGCTTTCCATACCTCTGATATCATTGATTGTATTTGCAGACCTATCTTAATATCAAAATTGATTTCTATAAACCCATATATTTCCAAAAGACAAAATGAAGGAAAATACAAGCACATGTAAGATCTATTTCTGAAACTTTATTTCCAATTTAGAGTGTGTGAACTGGCACATGGTAGGTAGTATAGCAAGTGGTCAACAAATGTTTGTCCAGTGAATGAATGGTTGCACTGTGATGAGCTTCATATGCCAAATGGGTAGATAGTGGCATTTGGGGGCAAGTTTCTTACCTGCAAGCATTTCTGGGTCAATGTCTGTGGATGGCTGCAGGTACCACAGAGACTTTGAACACTGCACCATACCAAAGGAACATGTTACCTTATGTCTGGTTCGGCAAAGATAGGAGGATGGTAGCCAAAAATGGTTTTCCCCACCTGTTTTATTTTCATGGGGATTTGATTTACAAAATTTGAATTACTTATTTTTAGAAAACGATTTTAGAGGTAAAACTGCCAAATTGCTACTGGACCTGGAGTCCTAGGATAGCCCATCTGTTCTGCCTGTAACATTGGGTGTTGCCATCCTTCTGAAGAGACGGCTTGTGCAAACTTGGGAACCAAGGCAAAAATCGCACTTATGTTTTCAAAATTTATCAAAAGCACTTCTATGTGTCAGACACAGGGCTGTGCCCTCTACACACACACATCAAGCAAATAAGCTGAAGTGGAGCTGACCATAGGGGAAGGAGTGCATATCATATCCCTTCAGGAGTTCAGGCGAAGCTGACAGTCATGAGTCTGGGTGCTTATGAATGTTCTCTTTCTCTTTTATGAATTGTTTCTGGGCATCCATGTTCCAGATTAAGTTGAGACCATACCATGGAGGCATACAAAGATGACAATTCTTAATTATTACTTATATTTGACCCCTTTCCAAAAAAACCTGAGGTAGCTTACACAGATATGAAAAATAGACTTAGATAAAAATAAAACACCATTAAAAGCACATAATTATCAACACAGTAAAACTTGCAAAATTAGAAGAATAATGGTAATATCTAGTGGCATACTCTAATGTCCTGCAGTCATTTATGTTGAGCTGCAGTGTGGACTCTGAATGTCCCAGCAGCCAGTGTAGACAGAAGTGTGATCAGTTACCTAATTCGATCATGCATGATGGATATATATTAGTTGCTCAGGAAAAATGTGTATTCTTAGACTTGGGACATGGAGAAATTGTTACTACGGGGTTCCGTAGACACAATTTGCTGTGTTGTTCTGAACCAAGTTCTTAATAACATTCTGATAATAAGTGTAACAGAGAGACTATAAAACCTCTTGGTGTCTGCCATGCTTATAATGCCAAAGTGTCCCTCATGGGATTGATGAGGAATGATTGTCCAGGAACGCAGCTTTCTATGGCCAGATGCAACAAGAGTTTTCATGGAATAGACATTCTATCTGACATCAAATCTTGTTTATTTATTTTTCATAAATGAGCTGTCACTAAGTCTTAGAGAACAGAACTGGTGACATGCCAGTCCCTGATTTAAAGACTCTCAGGGCATAATAGCTGTTTGCGACATGTTTCTCACTTTTCCTTCCTTCCCATGCTTGAGTCCCCAGTTTCTAGAGATTTCTTTCTTTTTTCCCCCTCACCAATGCCCACTCTTGAAAAAGCACCGATTAGTGAGAGCCAATCTCTGGATTCTTTGCTCCACCTTAGGAGGGCAGTCATTGTTTTTGATATCATTTAAAGACTTCTGCTTCAGGGTGTCCCTAATATAAGCTCTGATACCCTCACATTATAAAGGCAGTTGAACTCTTGCGAGACTGGAAAAAATTCATCCATCAACTAGAATACAAGGCAGAGAAGCTGAGAATGATGAATTGTAATTGGTAAACGCTTTGCCACCTGAAAAAGATCAGCACAGCCACCCTGGGACAGAGGTGGGGCACTGGTGTGCTTCTCCCCATGCACTGTATTACCAGGGTCTAGGCACCCAATGGCTGCATATGAGAATGCTACCCAGCCATTCTGACCTTCTTTTTTTTTTTTTTTTTTTTTTTTTTTGAGACGGAGTCTCGCTCTGTCGCACAGGCTGAAGTGGTGCAGTAGCCGCGATCTTGGCTCACTGCAAGCTCCGCCTCCCGGGTTCACGCCATTCTCCTGCCTCAGCCTCACGAGTAGCTGGGAGTACAGGCGCCCGCCACCACGCCCGGCTAATTTTTTTTGTATTTTTAGTAGAAACGGGGTTTCACCCTGTTAGCCAGGATGGTCTTGATCTCCTGACCTCGTGATCCGCCTGCCTCGGCCTCCCAAAGTGCTGGGATTACAGGCGTGAGCTACCACGCCCAGCCGATACAGCCCATTTTTAAAAGGTGATCTTTTTTTGTAGCATTACTACTCTCCACCCTCCTCATCAGAAGCTTCCATTCACTATGTGGTAAGAGATATTAAACAAAACAAAAGACAAATGATAGAAGAGGATTGGCTATAGAATGTTGCCTTTAGAGAAGTGTCAGTATCAGAAGCAAAGCACTGTAGGTGAGGCTGAGGACAGAAAATAAGCCCAGAAGGACTGACCTGAGCAGAAGCTTCAATCTGTACCCATGTGGCCAGACAATAATTTAGGACCTGGAGAAAACTTCCTTAACATGAAAAAGAATATCTGTGTTCAATTCAGCAGCTGACTGCAAACATACTTCATGGTGAAATGCTATGGATGTTCCTTCCAAAATAAGGAAAAAATAAAAATTACAATTATTACTTAACTTTTTTTTGCAGATGTTGTGTATTTGCAAATGTTTAATCAGTCTGGCTAATTAAAGTGCCAGATATTCTGTTAAGCATTGGGAACAAAATGATGTGAAAAACATATACGGTTCCTAGCCTCATGGAGTTTCCAGTTTGTAAGGGGGATAGATAGCCATTAAGTAATCATATGTAGCATGTGAAACAGAATTAATGATAAAGCTGCAGAGAGCTCCATGGGTACTTTGAGCATATGTAACTGAAGGAGTTGATCTAGAAGGAAGGCTTCCCAGAGAAAGTGAGTCTAAAACTCAAGTGGAAAGATGTTAAGAGTTTACTAGGTGAAGAGGGGTACTTAGAACAGTTCTAGAAATGACACGTTAGAGGGGGCTTGGACAGGTGGGTGTTTGCAGTGGTAGCAGAGGCTGGTAAAGTAGATAAGAACCAGCTATGTTGTGCACTAGAGGCCATAGTAGGGAGCTTCATCATTATCTTGAAAGAAACAGAAAGACATTGACATTTGATGCATTCAGGTGGCATGATCATTTCATGTTGAAGATTGTCCAGGTGACAGTACTGAGAATAAACTAGGAGGCTGTCAGTGGGAAAGAGGGTAGACTTGGCAGGAAGCTCTGGCCTCAGTGAAGGTGAGAGCTGACGTGAACTTGGACAAGAGTGGCATTGGTGGGGAAGAGAAGTGGACAGGTTCAGCCAGCACAGTAGTACATGGAACAGAATTGAGAGGAAGGATATTGGAAGGAGGAGCACAGTGCTCTCATTTACTGGAAATACAATTATCTACCTAGAAAACTAAAGATGATTAGGGAAAATTCTTTTCAATTATTAAGAATTCAACAAAAAGCCAAATTATAGAATATTATATATGGATATCCTATATTTCAGCAAAAAGAAGATGCTATAATAAAGAAGTTAGTGTATTCATAATAGCAAAAGAATATAAAATACCCAACAATAACATAAATAAGAAATGCATGAGAACAAAAAAAGAAATAATTTACTTATAAATATAAAGGAGGACCCACACGAGTGAGTAAAAATAGATATCCTTCAAAGAGAAGAATACATATTGTAAAGGTATCAATTCCTTCCAAATCTATTTATAGATTGAATACAATACTGATGTCAGAAATTCCATAAAGATTTCAAAAATCATGACAAAATAATTTGACAATTCATCTGGAACATAAACAGATAAATAATTTAAATTTTTGTTACAGTTTACTTTAAATGGTTGCTTTTTTAATAGAAAGGAAGGGAAGGAATTTCCCTACCAGATATCAAACACTATAAAGCTACAGTTATTAAAAAAATTAAATATGTGATTCTGGTGCAAAGCTCACCTAACATTTTAATAAAAAGAGGAGATATTGCCTTGAAGCAGATGGCAGCATACAATAAAAGTTTCATTACAACCCCATAGGGAAGGAATGGCTATGCAACAAATAGGGCTGGGTTTAACAATGCAGTTGTAGGAAAGATTCCCATAGGAAGGTCTTTCTTGTTTTCAGCCACAATGGTTGATCAAAATTATCATGGTAAAAACAAAAACAAAAAACTTGTAAATTTTTTGAGCTTTGAATTTTGCACTAGAGACTAACTCACAGAGCTTTTTCAGGAATTGATATCCATAATAAAGTTAAAGTCTTACTCCAACACTTTTCTTTGTAAATAGAAGGTAAAGAAGCACCGTAATACAAAGACTTTGTAATGTTCCTTCTCAGCTGTAGGTACTACCCGATTTGGTGACAAAGTGTGATGAGTCTATAAATTGAATATGTATTTTATCTCCTCCAGGTCCCAAAATATTTTTGTCCAGTATGTTCTTAATAGCTTTGTATTCTTTAGATTTTTTTTAAGTGGTCCCTCAAACAACTGATTCAGAAGTATGCTGGCATACATGCATATTTGGTGATCTTTAGTGTATTTAAATGCTACTTGATGGGAAGAAATACTAGCAGGTTTTTTCTCTTCTCTCTGCCTGCAGTTACAGATTCACTTCCATATAACACTCAGAATGATATGGCTAAAGAGAAACATCTAAAGTTTATGCATATTTCAAAATGTTTCTAATTTCATTTCAATTTCCTATGAGACCCACAGTTTCTACATTTATTTAACGAAGCCATTAAATATCCCATTGGCTTTGGGGAAATGAAGATTCAGAGCAACAGCATTTTCTGAGTATGTGTGATTCAGGCACTATGGGGTGTGTAGTGGAGAGTTAGAGATGAAGCAGGCCTTGTGCCTGTCTCTTGAGACCTCATAGTCAAGGTCTATGTGAGCCCCCACACTCTTGCCCAGTCCCCTTTGACCAATGTGATCAGTGGTCACCTTTGCTCATGGGGTTGCCTATTATATCTGGGTTAAAACCCTTTTTCTGTGAAAAATGACATGATCTTGTGGGGATCCAATCTCAACTTCAGTCTTGGTCTCTGGCACACTGTTCTCAATCATAACCCATAGAAACAATTCTTTTAGTTTAAAGTTGGGTAGTTATAAACTTGCTTTTGAGGGGGCAGAGAGAGGGAAGGAAGTTGGAAACATTGATTACAAGGCAGAATTAAATACTAACACTAATTTCTCATTTCAATTTAAGCAAAAAGGGGGCCTTTCTGAGAGTTCTTATGCTTTTGAAACATTAAAGATTGGGAAGGTGCACCCTATGGATAATAGTGACGAGCTTCATACATCTGAGGCCATCCTCTTGACTCTCCTTGCTCAGGAAAATTTCCTATTTGGGAGAATGAAGAGCACAAACCAGATAGTATATTCAACTATGGAAAAATAATGACAAATTTCATTCAGCAACTACATGGAAGAGAAAGTTTGATTTCCAAATTGTAGTCATTTTATTGCAGTACCTGATCATAAGAGAGTAAAACCTTCAATTGAAGTTACAAAGAATAGGGCAATGATACATGTCAGCCTTTCATGTCTTCCAATAAAGTCTCAGTCACTCCCCACAATTAATTACCCTTCTTAGTGAAGATCTGGATAGTTCATTGCTTAGTACTAATCCCTGTGAACAGGCTCTCTCTTTCCATTGATTTATCTAGATTTGCACTAGTATTTACTATTTAGGCATCATTCACTTTGTAGAACCCCTGCAATTCATAGATCTCTGATTGCTTCCCATGCACTATGCTATGGGTTTTGGCATGCATTATCTTACTCAATTCTCACATGTTGTAGGTAGATTATAATTTTCAACTCACATAGTTAAGAATAAATAACCAATAGAGGCTTTGAACAGAAAGTAAGTGGCTTTGTTGCCTGGATTCATCCATTTATAATGAAGTAATTAATATATGGCAATTAAAAAAAATCCCAGCTGCTTCTCCGAATAGACAGAGAAACCAATATCACAGAACAAATGATGCATATTATGTGAGGAATCATTTGTGTGCCTTCCTAAGTTATGGAACTGTTAGGTCAGTAGGTACCCACTGGGTTAGAGGAAGGTTCAACAGAACCTTTTGGGCTTACTGAACATATTCATGTGCAGGATTGGTGCTGGTATGGGGAATTCAGACACTAATAATCTGCCCTTTCTCCATGAGGCTCTCAGTGTGGTGGGTGCAGTGGTAAGTGAGGGTGTGATGCATTGATATTGAATACTGGAACAAAGCTGTGTGCATCCAGTGATGACCACTGGAGCTGCCCACCCAGGCAGAGGCACAGGACCTCTAAGCTGAGAAAAGCCTTCAAGGGTGGGTGGGCCCATGCAGGCATCTTGCAGGAGATGAGATTTGCCCTGGCTCTGAAGCCTGATTTAACCACAGTAGGTCATCCTTACTCAAACTGGCTCTGGCAGGAAAGCAGTCCCAAGTACTAAGAGTTTCTTACAGGGGCGGGCTTATGGTGCCGTGGGGCCAGGACTCCAGCTCCACTTCTCTGCAATGACTCTCAGCTGCACCCTCTGAGTTTTGGGTTGCAGTACAATGACACGGAAGTCCCAGGAGCCAAATCCAGACAGGATGAAGGCCCAGGGGAAGAACAAAAACGTCTTTTTCTCATTCTCTGAAGCAAGAAAAACATTCCCAGAATTCCCCCAGAGCATTGGCCAGAATTGCATTACATGACAGATACTAAACCAGTCACTGACAAAGGGAGGGAGATAACTCTGATTGGCTTGAATCGATCAAAGTTTCCTCTTAGAACTGGGGATAAGGAGTAGCTTGGGAGCAGGTGACTTTCTGAAAGTGATCTGGGTTCTGTTAGAAGGAAGAATGAACAGAAAGACATTGTGCTGCAGGTGAACAGCTGAGCACATTATGCACAGAGATATTTCATTTTTTAGATAATTAGAATAGGGAGAGGACATTCTACACAGGGCAAAAGTGAAGCTGCCTCTTTTGAGGAGAAATGGTTAATTTAGCTGAAGCATGAAAGCAAGAGGGGGAATCACTGCAGAAGAAGATATTCTGGACAACAATACAATTATGATATCAGAGAACTCTTAATTTCTCAAAAACACTTCACTGACTCTCACATCAACTAGAACAGCAAGTATCAACAGAGAAATCTGAAGTCCAGAGCAGGTGAGTAAATCTTCCAAGGTCACACAGCCTGTAAACAACAAGGTCTGGTGACTCTTGCCTGGGATCCTTTTGCAGTTCCTTGGCAATTAGTTGAGGCAGGTATATTAGTTATCTATTGCTGCGTAACAAATTATCCCAAATTTGGGAGCAGATCAGCTGAGTGGTCCTGACTCTGCTGAGATTGCACTGAAGCTGTCAACTGGGACAAACCATCTAAGGCTTGTGTGGGGCTGCAGGATCTGCATCTAAGCTCGGTTGCATGGACTTTGGCAGAAGGCCTCAGTTCTTCCCCATGTGAACCTCTCCACAGGGACCTCTCCACAGGGCTTCTTGCATTTCCTTATGGCTTGGTAGTGGCTTCCACTAGAGCCAGCAATAAGAGAGAAAGAGCAGGACAGAAGCTTCAATGACCTGTATTACCTAAATTTGGATGCCACTACATTCTGTTGGTTAGAAGTGAGTCAGTAATTTCAGCTCATACTCAGAGGAAAGGTAATTAATCTCTACCTTTTGATGGGAGGAGTATCAAAGAACTTATGGGCATATTTTAAAACCATCACAGCAGCAAAAATGCAACATGCATCCTGACATCTGGGATGAGTTCACCATAGAGAAGTCATTCAATCTGAAGGCATTAAAATACAAAAATGGTACTCCACAACGATAATAGACCAGATGACTCAATAGGAACCGTGGTGATGGTGGCGACTGGGATTTGACTGAGGCTCACCAACAAAAACCTCAATTATATTGGTTCCAAAGCTATGCATAAATTCGGAGAGAGAGCGTCTAATATGAATGGTGGTAGGGAGTAGGTGAAATTCCCTGCTCATCATTCTGCCCTAGTAATATGCATTAAATGCTCACTATTATAATCAAAATGACACACCATCCTTCTTTCTGCTGACTGTGGGGCCTCAGGATACCTAGGTCTCTGTCTCAAGGTTGGGCAGTTTTTCCCATGATCAGAAAATACAAGATCTTTTACTAGTACCCTCTTAGCAGTTTCCAAAATGCTGGAGAGAGCTCAGCATTCTTGGACCAGAAAGGCAAGCACAGAGTGGTACCTCCCCCTACCCCTTCTACAGCCCCAGTGAGGACTTTCAATCCAGTGGCCTCATCCCAGGGAACCTTGGGAGAGCTGGCAAATACTCTAAACAGATAAAAGATAATTGAACAAGGAGTGAGTAGTAAACGGTGACAAAGTGCTATTTCCATAATAAGCTTATCTGAGTAAACTTTCTCAGAGCCCCTGAGTTCCAGAGCAGGGTGTGGATTTGGCAATAGTAAAGAAACAGGCCACGCCAGGAATGTCTGGGGAGCTAATGAATGCCCCTGAAGTGGTTGACGTTCCTATCTCTGCTTTGGATCCCTGCCACCTTGACTCGAATGTCAGACGGTGTTTAATTGGCAAACAGGGCTTCAAAGGGTTGCTGGGCCCTGCTCCCAGGGCCCTGGGGCTGTTAATGTTTAATTGTCATGTGCAAGGGCCCACTAGCTCTTGGTAGATTTGGGTGTTTTATTGCACTTTGAAAAAGCAACGTTATGAGTCTCCTTCTTGCTCCATGGACATTTTTACAGACATGCCTTGGAGTCACATGTTGCCTCACCTAAACTCTGAGTAGCAAAGTCACCATGTTATTCAGCAGGGTTAGAGAGAAACACCTTCAAGCTGAAAATACTCCAGATTTACTGCCTGTGTCCTAAAATCAACAAATATTGATTTCTTTGGAGCATCTGGATCAGCAACAGAGGAAAAAAAAAGAAACTGAGTTGGGGGTGTAGGTTTAGGGAAGAGAAAAAAGACACAGAAGTGAAATTGCTAAATGGCAGATCATACAATTTCTTCATTGAACGCTGGTGGCATCCACTCTCCTTGACACTGGCTCTGTTACTCATGGCTCTGCTGGAAATGCAAATCTTTAAAAAAATCCCTCTCCCTAAAAGGGCCTATTTGCTTTATATTGTTCATGTAATTTAAAAAGTCTAGAGATTGTCTTAATAAGACTTTATAGCCTTCCTCTAATTACATAGGGAAGAATAAGAAATAATAGAAGACAAATACTTTTTTTTTTCTAAACTACATGGAAATTGTGAATAAAGGAGTAGCTTCCAACTTCCTGACATTTGAAAAGCACTGTTTTGAATTGAATATGAATGATTCCTTTGAATTTTCAATTCAATTCCATTTAATTGAACACATCTTCATTGAGTGCTTACTAAGTGTTCATATCAAACAATTTCTTTGGTTTTGAATTAGTGGCTTTTACAGAAATTGTTTCTTTTGTTGAATTCTGGAAATGTATCGGTTTGTTGTTTTAATCATCCTTTTGCTGATTGTGAATATCTCTCTAAGGAAGGAATGTAAGGAGAAATATCTAATTACACCACTTATATCAGAATGGCAAAGTGTATATTTATCTTGTTTGTTAATTATATATGTCACAGCTAAAGACCAAACATCAACTAATGTCGACATTAGCCAGAAGGGCCTGGCACACATCAAGAGCTGGGTGGATCACAAATAAAATACAATATAGCAAGTGGAAAGCACATAGACCTTTTTATGTGTTTATGTTGAATCAAATTTTTTTGTTCTTTTTTGCACATTCTACGTTCCAAACAGCCAGATTTTCATATGGTTGATCTCTAAGAAGTAGGTTTTACAGTAGAATTGCCACTATGAACAGGTTTCAGGGTCTCCCAGCATGTGTTAGATTTTCAAGGCAATGTAGCAGACACTTAGAATCTTCCAAAGGATGTAATCTCTTTTCTTTAGCTCTCTTGTTTGCCTCAGTTCCCATTCCTTCCGTCCCTACCGCTGATTTAGCGATTCCTCTCCTTTGACAAGCGGTAAGCAGACAACCCCTTCCAATCAAAGCCGGTGCTATGAAGTTCAATCACATCCAGGGTTCTCAGCCCCAGAGCTTCCGCCGCCTATGAATGTAGATGGGGGAATAGTCTATTGTGCACAAAGCACGTGCCCTCCAAATCCATATGCACAGTTAATTAGTTGAGAGCCCTAAAATGTTATGTGATTCCTTTCTTAATAGAAATGAGAAGTTGTAAAGATGAGAGGCCTTTATTCACACTTTATCAGCTATTTTAAATTAAGGGGTATATTATCCTCTGGATAGATTTACAGGAACACCCATTATGCACCTAACTCCTATTATCATTAATGGCGGTAAATGCATGCACACACAAGCTCAGCACTCCGGGCTTTACACAAGAGGCCACTCTTTTCCTCCTGTTATTAACAATTCCTGCTTCACATTTCTTAAATATCTGCAAAATGAAACAAAACATTGTTCACAACTTAAAGACTATCTGGGTATATGTTTTTCAAAGGAAATTAGATTGGTACATTACATAGGTTTGCAAATTTACATTATGATAGCAAGTGATTATGACCGCTGCCGCTCACCCTCTTTGAATCTCCCTAGAGGTGAACACACAGGGCCAGGGGTGCAGAAGGGGGTGGCAAGGGGTCGAGATTTCCCATGACAGCGTGGCATAAGGATCTGCTGGCAAGGAGTTGGAACTTTAGCCTGTCGACTGTTTTCTTTCAGTGTTGGCAAAGCCAGCACTGAAATGTATGGAAGAGATAGAAAAGTGAGAGAATAGACTGCTAAGCAGAACTTCCAACTATGGGGAAGAGGCTATTAAAATATCAATTCATTAACTCATTCATTTCTTATTTATCCATCCATTCCTTTGCTCACAAATATGTATTAAATACCTAGTGTGTGTGTGCCTAGCAGGGTGCTGGGCTATGAGGACCTAACAGTGAAGAAAGATTAGAGCTTTGTACCAAGGAAACTCACAGTTTAGTGAAACTATAAAATTAAACAACGAATTGCACAGTTAGCTGTGTGATCCAGGAGACATGCAAGTAGCCATGAAGAACTTGGCTGAGTGGAGGGGACAGGCAGGAGAGACGCCTCAGGAATAAATGCAGAGCCTAACTCTGAAATGAATGCAGAAATCATCATGGTGATAGGAGATGGTTTAGGAAGAGCTTGCTGGGTGGGAGGAACAGCATGAGCAAAAACCTGAGGAAAGCAAGTTCCAAATTCTGGACCGGCCAGTCAGTAATAACAATGATTGGTCCTTCCTTCTGAAATACTGTACAGAAGGGTGCATTTACTTTTCCCCCTGCTAAAACAGGCATGTAATAAGGGTCACCATTTACTACCATGCATCAGTGTGCCATGAAGCTGAAGCTAGACCCCAGCCAAATGAATTCTTAGGGTTTGAGTTGTAACATCAGCACAATCTCTACTAAATGCCCCGCTCCCCACTCCCACTGGACAAATCACCTCTGTGCTCCCTCTGCACAAGGGTCAAATTTGGAGGGATGGGCTGTGGAAATCCTCTATACCTGTGTTTGTCAAATGATCTCTAAGGAAGGATCAGGTTCTTAAAAATTCTGTTGTAAATGGATACTTTTATAAAATGTAATCAAAATGAATTACTAGAAAAATGATTATGCACTTTGACGTCATGACCATATCAATTTCTGGAAAACTCTTCTGAATGCTTACTCTCAATATATGTACTTATCTCATTGCAGATTGATAGCACATGGCTTGCAGACCACACCTCCCCTTCAAGACTAAGACTATCCCTATGTTCCACACCTTGCCTCACTGACTTCCAGCCAGACTGTCAGCTAGGACTATATCTACAACTCTCGAAATTATTTACATTTCCTGCCTGGGTCACCTCTTGGGCAAGAGGTTTTCCTGTATTACACCCCCACAGCAAGAAATATTATTTTATTAATTAGAAACTCTAAGAGGCACTCACCTCAAGTCCTGGTATTTCTAGGGCTGGGAAAGTGATCCCAGGTGTTTCATGCCTGTTTCATGCTTTCTTTTCTAAAAACTTCAACATTCATGTAAGGACTAAGATTCAAAAGCCAGCAGCATAGCAGATTGGAAAATCTGGGCTAATGACTCTCAGCATTTGCTCGGGGCTGGAGACCCAGACAGTCAGAACAGGAGACCTTTAGACTCATTGTTCTATGGATGTGCCTGGGGGTCTAAGAAGGACATCTCCAACCCTGCTGGTGGGTTGGGAGAAAGACAAGCAAAGGCAAGTGATTGACTACAAAGCAGAGTGCAGTGAGATCCCTGCATGGGCTCTGGTCCCTGCTGGAGCTCTCTTTTGGCAGGCAGCCTGTGGGAATCTGTAGTATGACCAGTCAGGAACTTGGCCCTGGGAAGTTGGAGGTATGGATATAACACAAGTCCCTGAGAACTTTGAGGAAGGAACCCCAAGAGATATCAACTTCCCTGTTGCTTGCTTTTCTTCCTCTGCATGACTTTATGGACTTGAAGGAGGACCTCAATGCTTAGTTTGCACCTCACTTATCTTACTTGGAGCTATTGTACTGGGTTATCTTGCCTACCAACATGACTCAATTATTTCACTGAAACCAGTAACTTCCAAATTATATCTCTAATGTACATTCTTTTCTGAGCTCCAGATTACATATCAAATTAACTCCTAACTCTACCTGATAGACTGACCAACGCTTCCCCTCAAAGATGTCCATGTCTTAGTCCTCAAAACCTGTGAATAAGTTATCTTTACATAGCAAAAGACACCTTGCCAATGTGATTAAGTTAAGGATCTTGAGACAAGGCGATGGTCCTGGATTATCCAGGTGAGCCCAAGGGCATCACAAGGAACCACAGAAGAGGGAGGCAAAAGGGTCAGAGTCAGAGGAGATGTGATGACAGAAGCAGAGGTCGGAGTGGTGAAGGGTCATGAGCCAAGGAATGTGGGCAGACCCTAGAAGATAGAGAAGAAAAGGGACAAATGCCCCTGTGGAATACAACTCAATTCCAGAAGGAATTCAACTCTGCCAGCCCCTTGGTTTTAGCCTAAGACTATGTCACACTTCTGATCTTCAAAACTGTACAATAATCAATATGAGTGGTTTTAAGCCACTTAGTTTGTGGTAATTTTTTACATCAGTAGTAGGAAACCAGTACACCCCTGGGTATCCCAAACTCACCATCTGCCCTCCAAAATGTGATGCTTCCTCTGAACCGTTCATTTCAAGACATAGTACACGACTCTGCTAGTTCCCAAACTAGAAACATGGAGGTCATCCCAACACCTCCCACTCGCTTACCCACAACGTCCAGTGGCTTTGTTTTAAGACAAAGTGTTTAAAGACAAAGTTCAAAATCCTTAAAGGGATCCACAGGGCCCTGAAAAGTGTCCCAGGATCTCACTGACCTCCCTGGCATCCATCTTTGGCTGGATGGGTCTTTTGAGAATGTCTAGAGATAGCTCACACGTTCATACTTGCTCCTAAGCCAGCCTGGAAGGCACCCATCCCTCCTCCACCACCCACATCACTGGCAACTTTTTGAGGAATCAACTCTCATGGCTTTTCCTCCAAGAAGCCTTGTCTGTATCCACTGCTGAAGTTAGGTGCCCACTTCCCTAAATTCTCACCCTTCAGTCTTGTAAGAGTCACCACAAGTATTATGTTCAATTTATCTCCTTCCAGTTATTCTGCCATCTCATGAAGGCAGGAACCACAACTGTCTGGCTCTTGACTATAGGCCGTGTTGCTGCACAAAAGCAGACACTCAGTACTATTTACTGAAAACAAAAACAAAATAAAAAGAATAGGTGAGCAAGATTCCGGGAGGAGCTCAGGGATAGGATCTGGGATGTAGCCACAGTGGGGAGACTCAGCAAGTCTCGGACTCTCTGCTCACCTGGAAAGATGCTGATGGAGGGTTTTGCTTGGCCCTTGTCCAGAATGAATCCATGGATCTGCCCTGACAGATCAGGGGCTGCAGGCTCCCCAGTGGTTGTTCAGGATCTGGGTGGTAGATCATAATCAGAACTGATGTTTCTTGAGCTCTTACGTAACAGGCGCTACACCAAGTGCTTTAGTGGATTAACTCATTTAATCCTCACCTGAACTCCATGTTGCTATGGAGTTTCCAACATGGATTCAAAGTGAGGATTAAATGAATTGATTCTTTGTCATTAATGTTATTAATAACTTAATAACAATTGCATTTAACAGATGAAACAACTGAGGTAGAGAAAGGTTAAGTGTTTTGCCTAAGATCAGACATCTTATAAGTGACAGAGCTGGGATCTGAACCCACACACACTGACCCTAAAGTCCTTGTCTTAAACAATGTGTTGTGCTTCCTACAGCATGAAGGCAGGGACTCGCTGAGGTTACGTGAACCGGTCTCCAACCATTGATATTGGCCCATTTACTTATTTCACAGGTATTTGCTGCTAATCTACTGGGTGGTAGACACTGTGCTAGGTGTTAGGAATCCGCAGATGAATGTCAGTTGCCTTCAAAAAGTGTGGACTTGAGTGAGAAGGCAAAAAAGAATGAGTATGATGTGATGTGGCAAGAGGGGACATGGAAACCCAGGACAGGACTTAGACCTGCTTCCTGGGTTTTGAAAGGGTTGTAAACTGCCTAGGTGAAGGAGAGGAGAGGAAGGGCCACCAGGTAGACGAAAAAGTGTGTGCGAGGGCACAGGCATGGGAGAGCAAGACCTGTCGGGGTAAATTGCTCGTAATTCTTCCAGCTCAGTGTGGCGGAAAGGAGGGTGTGGAGTGGTGCTATAGGGGTGTGGGGAAGATGAGGCAGACTGGGGTCAGCCTACGAAGACTGGGAACACCATGCCGAGGACCCCAGTGTCACGTCATTCCTACCAGCCCAGGAAAGCAGGGACTGCCTTTCTTCTCCTGCCTGTGTCACCACTCAGTTCCCAGCCTGAAGAGATGCATGCAAGCTATTCAGCAATGACAACAGTTGGTGTGAATTGACCAACTGGATCAGATGCTGGCCCAGGTAAACAGCTGGAGCCTCCTGGCAGCATATCAGTTCATCCTTAGCTCCAGCACATGGTGACATTCTCTCCAAAGCTGTGAGGACAGTGGAGGAAAGTGTATTTTGTCATTTCTTAGGACAAGAGCATGGGAACAACCATCTCCTGGAATGGCCCTTCCACAGGAAGAGAGGAGGACACATGGCACAGAGGAAGGATGGGGCACCTGGATTCAAAATCTGCTTACACCATCCACGGAGCCTGGGATGTTGAAGAATTAGTTTTTTCTCTTGGAACTTGCTTTCCTTACTTGTAAAATAAAGTTAATCCTACAAACACTACAAGGCCATTGTGAGGGTCAAATGAGACCAGGCATGGTAAAGTATCTTGTAAACAGCAAATTACGAAAAACAAATACAAACAAAACAGAAAACGTAAAACAACAACAAAGGTCTTGGTTCTAAAGGACATGAAACTTTCATTTGACCCAATTTAGAGATCATTCATTCCTTCAACAAATAATAATTGAAGCCCTGCGATGTGCCATACCTTCACACATTCTAAGAATTATTCCTATTTACACACTTTCAAGAAACCTATCATTTCCGGTTGGGAAGGACACCCACAGCATCCCCTCTACCCCGGCCCCCATTGGAACCCATGGGGATGCCTCTGCTGCTTTCTCATTTTCTTTCCTTGGCCTTGTCCCACCTGAATCACTACTGAATTCCTCCTCTAACAGCTTCTTTCTGGGTGCCCTTGACTGGCAGAAGCAGCCATGGCCTCTGCTTTAAGATGAGCTCAGCTTGTGTAAAGAGTGCAGATTAACTAATATAGGCTTCTCTGTTAGAGGGAGCCAAGTATATTTGTGCACTTGCCCAGCCAAGGAAGTCATTGTCCCTTTCTTAGAGGCCTTCCAGAGTGTCAGTGTCTTAATCTAAATGGGCAGCTCTCTGGTGAAGGCCCAGGTGCCAGGGGAAGCCAATCGAGGAGCCATTTACAAGTGGAGAGGGTGATAAAGGAGGTTTGAGTACTTCCATCATTACCACTGTCTGAAAGAAGCCTGCATTTACTATCAGAAGATCTCTGTCTATCTCTTCAGTTTCAGCAATCTCATTTGTAAAATTAGAATAATAATAATCTCCTTCTTTCAGGACTATTATAAGGAACAGATTAAAATAATGTACAGGAATCAACTCTGTGTATGATAAACTCCAGCGTGTTGGTCAACTCAGGCTGCCATAACAAAATACCACTGGTTGGGTGGCTTGACCAACAGAAATTTATTTTCTCACAGTTCTGGAGGTTGGCAATCCAAGATCAGGGAACTAGCATGGTTGATTATTTTCTGGTGAGGCCTCTCTCCTTGGCTTGCAGACAGCTGCCTTCTCACTCTGTCCTCAGGTGACCTTTTCTATGTGTGTGCACACCCCTGGTGTCTCTTTCTCTTTTTACACCCCTCACTGCCCCTTATAATCTCATTTAACCTTAATTACCTCCTCAAAGGCCCTGTCTCCAAATCCCTAGTCACTGTGGGGGCTAGGGATTCAACTTATGAATTTGGGGGGACATCACTCAATGCATAACATCTGGTATTCATGCAAACCATATTATCATAAATACTCAGTGCTCACCTCAGAAACAAACATGAATTGGTCATAAAGGTTTTTCAAAGCAAAATGTTTGGAAAACAAATCATGAGTTTGTAGGGACATTTCTAAAGCCAAACTGAAATGTTTCCTTTGACTTTCTCTTATTTCACCCACATCCCAGCTACACTTATTGGCCCTCAGGAGACAATATCCAGACTGGATTTCTTGGTGAGAAATGCCCCTTGGAGATCTCCTGCAGTCACTAGATGCAGAATCGTTTCTCCAGGGAGTGAGCTGGCCCTGCTCTCAGCTCTGAGCCTTCCCAGCTTCTGAGGCAAGACCCCAGATTCAGGCCCCGGACTCCCAGAGCTTTCTGTCATCAACTTCTCACTTGAAGTTCTGCCTTTAGTGCCAGGAACACAGCAAATGATACATTCAGCTCAGCATAGCTGGCTGCCCGGGAACAAACCTTTCTGTTTACCTGAAAGCTTGCCTGGTGTTGAAGGTTGCAAATAAAAAGTCACTCTTTTGAAGATAAATACCATTTTGAGTCATTTCTTTCAGGAGGTATTTCAGCCGGGTGTTCCCATTGCCATGGAGTACAGAAGGAGACTCAGCTGACAGACCTGTGAGGATGTAAGGAAACTTGCCAGGGATGTGAATCTAAGATCATTATTCTTGATCAGCCTGGGAATGAATAGAAAATGAGTCAGAGGCTCCCATGAAGCACATGGCAACAGGAATGGAACCAAAATGCCTATCTTCAAGGTAGCTCTTGATTGAGCTAAGCTTTTTGCTCTTTCAAAGCTTGTTTTGGTCCAAAACTATTTCTGATGGAAAGTAGCATTTATACACCAGAAAAAGAGCAATTGACATTTCTTTTTACATTCCATTGGGGCTGCTTAGCCCAGGTCACAGGGCAGAGGGGACTTGGGAGCTGAAGAAGAGAGGTCAAGAGCCCCAACCTGCAACTGGGGCTTGGGGGGCGCTGAGGCTGAATGGGGTGTCCTCTGGTAGGGGCCAGGGGGCACACGCAGTTAAATTTGTAACCCTTAATTATTTAGAGTTGTTGTTATCATTTTTCCTTTCTGTTTCTCTAGGTAGAGTCATTCATTTATGCAAAAGCAGTAAAAAGAATAGCCAATACCAGGCACTGGGAATGCAGAGATCAATAAGGGACTTTAAAAAAGTCTAAATCGAGAGGAGGACATAACAGCTGGGTGGGTGTCAGATTTTGTTTATTCAGCTGGTTAAATATGTCACTGAAGACCCATCTCTCTGCTCTACCAAACACAGCCTCAGTTCCAACCTGAAGCCCTTGCTGAGTTAAAATGATTGCCAGTAGTAAATGGGACTGTTCACTTTCTTGTCTATGCCTCTCTTCAAACCATACAACCTTCTGTATGGGGCTAATGTAGATGCACAACCCTGGCCCAATAACTGTTGTCAGTGAAAAGGCATCAGGTGATGGATTTAAGGATGGGATCCTGCACACTCCCATCTCTAGAAGGGGTCGGAGGTATCAGGATTGTCTTAGACCAAGCAGAGTTCTCAGATGAGCAGCATGAAAACACATTGCTGGTCTACAGTGGGAGGACAGAATGATGTTCTGGAGGCAATAGTAGCCAAGACCAGATTATAACTAACTCTTCCTGTTATTTTAATCCATGTTACTTGAAATTGACATGCACATAGTTTAACAGAAATCAATCTGTGTTTGCATGCTTATGATGGCAAAATGAAGAGCCATTCTCCCTCCCCTAACTCTGGGTCTCAAGTCTTAGAGGCAATCCTTAAAAGTCTTTTAACTATTTCTCGTTGGATTTAGCTCTTTGTCTTTAAGTAACACACTTATATTGATTTTTTTTTCTGACGAATATATTTACATATTATATATGACATTTCTCTACTGACAGGTGAGGATTTAGCATCTTGTTTCTGCCTCCACCACCACTACCCACACACACTCTTTCCCTGATTCCTGGGGCCTGCACACTACTGCCTACAGGCTGAATCCAGCCACCTGCCTGTTTTTCTGTAGTTCCTTAGATCAGGATGGATTTTACATTTTTAAAAAGTTGTGAACAGACACAAAAACAAAAATATGCTACAAAGCATGTATGTGGCCCACAAAACCTAAAATATTTACTGTCTTGCCTTTTACAGAATGTTTGCCATACCCTTATGTACCCTTCCAAAATAGTAGCATTTAAATTTTGGCAAAATTAGTAATAATTTTTTGCATTGTTATGATTAAGTAAATATTGTTTATTATGGGCATAAGTCCTGTGATAATATTCCCTGTTTTGTACAACTTTAAAAAAATCTGGCATTAATAATTGTACTCACCAGTCCAGGTGTTCATCAATTCTCAGTCTTTGCCAGGCTCTAGTCATTGTATCATATGTCTATTAACATTCCTTTTAAAATATCAAGACTATCATATAATGCACCTGCTTCTTTTTCATCTCAGAGACCTCTTTCCTGGGTCCCTCTGGCTTTCTGTTTCACCTTACCTTCTGTCTCCGGGCACAAATGCCATTCTGGTGCTTTGCTGGATCACCATTTCTTGAGTCCTATATCTTCTCCATCTTCTCTTCCCTTGGTATATACCTTTTTTTTTTTTCCAGGAGAACCTTCTCCAGTAACCTCCCAAGAAAGAAAATATAGAAAATGTGGGGGTTTTTTAAGGCCTTGATATCTACGGATGTCTTTATTCTATACTCACACCCTTGACATTTGGCTAGACGAAGAATTCTACTTTGAATTGGGATTTTTGTCTCAGAATGATGAAGGCAGGACTCCATTATCTTTTAGTATCCTTGTCTTTCATTCTCATTTAAGAGCAGGTCACTGGAAACCTCTGTGTCTGTGTGACCAAGCCGCTTGGTTGCTTGATTTCACTGTGTGGTGACAGCCGGAGGGAGGGTAAGACGAGTTGGCCATTTGTTAGGGCGTTCCCAGGTGCCCACATCTGGACGCCTCGTATCTGAGCTCTTTCGTTCTCATAGACAAGACTCCTGCATTTTCTGCCTTGAGGAGCGCATATCTGGCTTCCAGAGTTTTGGGGAAGAAGGCTGAATCCATTTCCCTTTAACCCTATTGTTTTCTGCACTGCCTTTCATCCCTCCCTCTCCTATATCTGGTGTCTGAGGCTACAGGTCACCATTTCAGTTTCTCTAAAAAACTAAACTGTGGTCCCTTGCTTGGTTATTTAAGGTCTGGGAGGAGACTTGCAGGCTTAAATGTTTCCCATTTTCATATTAAACCAAACCAGTCGTTTTAGCTTCACGTTTCCTTCACCTCCACTCCACTCCCTTCCTCCTGCCTACTGTAGTCTGTGGTTCCTGGCAAGCCCAGGTGCAAAGCTCCCTGATGGTTCTTTGGGACTTTGTGGTTTGCTTCGCAAGCACCTAAGGTGCTACTTTCTCCTCTCTGCCACTCTTTCATTCTACTTTGGTCTTCAAAAAATCTGATTTGCCTGCATCCTCAGTGACTCACTCTGTGAAAGGGGCAGGACAGAACTGAAAGATGGGACTGAAAAAAACGTTTTCCTAAGGAGGACTAAAGAGTGACTTGTAGGGTATAGTTTGTAGTAAGACACATTCAGAAACGATGGTGTCTCAGAATTCATTCAAAAACTGAGCTGTTATGTCCCAGGCTGTGTGCTAGGGGATGAATATGTATGACTTGGTCCCTGCACTCAGAGGCTGGGATGGGCGAGAGGGTAGATAGGTGAATCAACATGATGTAGCACCCAGAGAAGATGCACTGAAGCAAAGAAGTGCAGGAGCTAAAAACTCCAGACGAGAGACATTTAGTTCAGAAGGTTGGAGAAAACTTCCTGGTAAAGGGTGGAGATAGCTGAGTAGGTTGAACTTTTCAGTTAGTTGAATGAAGTAGTTGTTCTTAAGTTTCCCGGAGTCTCATGTAGGGTGGTCAGTCTCATCTTTTCTTAATCATGGGACCTGACTTAGCGTATCCTCCAAGCCTGGACCCTGTCCTATGGACACAGTTCAGTCTATCAGTACATGCGGAACGGGATTCTATGTCCCAGTTGCAGTGTGCAAGGGTAACATAGAAACCAGCTCTTCCTGAGTCTTACTTCCCAAGTCTTACTACGTGCCAGGAATTGTGCTGCTTCTCATGCATTTATCTCATAAAATGTTCATTGTAATTTTATGAGCTGGCTAGGTCCTTTTATATTATTCCCTTCATAAATGAAGAAACCTAGAGTTAGAGAATTGAAATCTCTTGCCAAAATATCTGCTATATATGGTAGGACCAGAAATTGAAGCCTAGTTATTTTGAATTGTAAGATTATACTCTCAACCACTAAGATATATCATGTCCCATTTTTTTAGGATTGCCCTTTTCTCTGGGAAGGGAGTGAAATGCTGGGCATACTGGGAGCGGTGGTGTGCTAGATGCAGGGATGCACTCTTAACTCAGAGTTCAAAACCAGCTCAGGCAGGCCCTGCTCTGGGCCAAGTCTATAAACTGGGAGGTGTCTGGGTTCATACAGGGTAAATGCTCATCCCCAGGTCTCAAGAAAATGCCATCTAAACAAGCAAGGACTTCACTCTAAGCCCTCTCCCAGAGCACAGAGTATGAAAGGCATTGGAGAAATAAGGACTTTCTCCCTGCTGCCCACAGCTCTGAGTTGGTTAATGAAATTGATGGGTCAGGAGCCACTGGCCTCCAAGGTTTATTAGTCCAGTCTTTGAGCTGACCCAAGCTGCAGGCACTCCAGACCGAGGCCACAAACTGTGAGGCCAGGGCTCAGCCAGTCCCCCTGCTTCTGAATCACCTCACATGACAGGCAGACCCTGTGGCTTCAGAGAGAGTTATGAGCTCTGGCATCCTGTAGTGAAAGAAACAGGCGTCTTCCCTCAGTCAACTGCCCTTGACACACCAAAAACATAATTCATGATTCATGAGAACTGTTTCTTTCTTCGGACAGAACCCTTGGCTTTGCTTTGGGCCCAGGAGTAAATTGGCCACAATCAACTCTCCTGAAGAAGTGGTTTCCCCACCACATAATTCTTCTTTTTGAGGACAATGGCTTTGCTCAATGTGGTACAGGGGAAGTTTAACCAAAGGAAAAACTGAGCCCACACTGATAAAATATCACTGTTATCAAGGGACCGCCAGGCGTGAGAGTTGAAGCACCCTCGCCTTGCGGTGGCTTCAGAGGCACCCTTTGTATACCTTTCCAACGGCCCCCAAGCATGGATGTCCCCTCCCCCTAACACACACAAGCAGTATCAACAATGCTAGAGTTCAAGCAATTCAGCCTTTATAACTGAAACTTATCCTCCAATCCTTCTTATCCCCCACATGATTCATGATGTTGCCTTTACCACCTGGCAGTCACCTCTCTAGGGCAGCCTGTGTGGCATTGGAGACACCACATACGACCTGGAGGAGCTGCTAGTGTTGACTATTGAATGTCTGCTATGTGTTGAAGAACTCTAATAGATGCTTACATTTGTTATCTCATTTAATCCCCAAAAACTCCATCAGGAAAATAGTATTTTTTTTTAATGTTTACAAACAGGTTCAAAGAGTCAAGCAAAGTTTTAAGATGACATATTTATAGTGTGGGGCTTCAACTAGGGCTATCTGAAGCAAAGGAGCACATGTAGGCTGCCACCTAAATGTCTCTACCTGTGTTAACCTGAGAACCAGGTCTAAGAAAAAAGGAAAACGAAACCTAGGTATGTTTTTGTACGGAATTTGGACAAACCTGCTGTTTCCACGAAATCCCAAAGTGCAATGGTTTTCTGACTCAGAAGCAGAAATACCTATGTGTGGACCCCAAGTGGGGAGCGTTGCCCAGTCTGGCCAAGACCTTCACTTGCAGGGAGACACTTTAAGTGTGGTGATGGAATGATGGGGGCTAGGAAGTCGACCTTTCATCCCAAAGAAAGGAGAAAAGTGACTCGGGGCTGGCTCTCCAGACCCTCTTCCTGCCCAACCAATCAAGGTGGGTACCAGCGAGGCCCTATCATACCACAATGTCATGCCCTCACCACAGAGCAAGGCTCTCCTGGTCCTCTAGACTAAAACAGTCCCTCACTCTGAGAACAACAGGCCCAGGAGACGGTCTTGCTCACCTTCTCACTATTGCTTCAGTCTCCTCTATCTTAACCACTTCATGTTTTTAAAAAATATAAATATGATTTATCCCTTTAAGCACAATCTATTGCATTCGATTCTATTAGACGAATCCATTAGATAAGTATTCAGCTGGATTTAGTAGATACACACTAAGATTGTGCAAAATGAGCTTTAGGGATATGGGGAAAGATCAGAACGTCTTTTTTTTTCCCTAAGTTTTTATTTGATATATGGCTTATAACACATGCAATACATTTACAACAGATTATATATATATATATATATATATTGGCCGGGCGTGGGGGCTCACGCCTATAATCCTAGCATTTTAGGAGGCTAAGGCAGGCGGATCTCCTGAGGTCAGGAGTTCGAGACCAGCCAGGCCAACATGGTGAAACCCCATCTCTACTAAAAACACAAAAATTAGCCAGGTGTGGAAGTGCACGCCTGTAGTCCCAGCTACTTGGGAGGCTGAGGCAGGAGAGCCTCTTGAACCCGGGAGTCGGAGGTTGCAGTGAGCCAAGATCTTGGCACTGTACTCCAGCCCGGCCAAGCAACAGAGTGAGACTCCGTCTCAAAAAATAAGTAAATAAATAAATATATATATATATTTGGGCCAGGCCCCGGGAAAGAGGGGAAGGGGTGCAGAAGGAAAAGTGCGTTATTAGATAGTAGTAGGATTTAGATAAACATTAATTGTTTAGACACTTAAACTGTCAGTAGACATTATTTTTAATTATTTTATTATTGTTATCAGTAGGATTATTTAGACAAATTTATTTGACTTTTCAGAGTTCCATCTTTCCTTTCATTTTTTACAAAATTTTGGAATAGCTCAGCAGTTGCATTTAGAACGTTATTTCTAGGTGTAGGATCATCCCTTAAAGTGGAAGGGGAAGGCTCAACTCTGTTAGAAGCTTCCCACACTCCCTGACACAGCCTCTCCATAAGGCAGTAACTTAGAGTCTGAGGAGGAAGTGGCAGGTGAGGTAAGGCTGAAGCTTCACACTCCAGACAAGTGCAGACCTCGTTCCCTGGTGGTAGCAGGGGATGGCATTTCCTTCCACATCCCCTGCTTCTGTCGGGGCCAAGCCTGCAGTGTACTCCACCTTTCCTCTCTTCCTTCCTTCAGAGAATCGAACTCCTAGTCAGAGTTATCCTGGAGTTCTCTTGCTTCCTCATCACCATTTGACACACCTCTTTCTAGTTCACCAAATTGTTCTCTGGAGTGCACCCCCTAAATATTCTACCTGTTGCCTCCTCTCTGCTTCAACTTCTGTGGCTTTTCATTCTTCATCATTTAGTGCCCAGATTACCCTGACAGCTTCCTAAAACCTTCCTCCCTGCTTCCAGACTGACATCTTCTCCCAATCTCCATTCTGCAGTTACTTTTTTTTTAAAGCAAGAATGTGATCCAATCACTGCTGTTGTTGAAATATCCTTCATTGACTCACCACTTCCTAGCCTGTTAAACCAGGCCTTGCATAGTCTGGCCCCAAGCTTAAGCTCCCACCACTCCCTGACATGCCACTAACATTCCAATTGTACGCCATGCCATTGCCCTGTTTGTTTCTAGACCTTTGCTCGAATGTGCCAGATACCCTTCCCTTTCCTTCTCGAATACAAAATCCTTCCTGTCCTTCAAAACCTTGCTCCATGTCACTCACATGACTCAGTTCCTAGACCACAGGAAGAACTGATCACATTCTTTTCTGTGTGCCTACTGCACCATAGCTCTTATGACTCTGTCATCACTGTATGTTAACATAGCTATCTATCCTATTGGACTAAGAGCTCCTTGAGGGTCAGGGATTATGTCCTATCATTGCACTCTCCACTCCAGCAGCTCCACACAGTTCTGAGTACTACGGTAGCTCAGACAAATGCCTTCCTTCGCTGTAGATCGTCACTGGCTCAATTCCTCATAAACCATGGCATTTCTCCCACTGAGAAGTTTCAGGGCACTCCTGAAATGACCATTATTGGATTTAAACAGGACTGCCTCACCACCAACGCAGTTCTGCTAAGGGTTAAGAAATGCACATTGTTTTAGAATCTGGAAAACAGCCTTCCTAGCTGAAGCATCTGGGTTCTGGTCAAAGTAGCACTCCAGGGAACCACTACCATTCATTCACAATTGGGCTGCAAGATAAAAATGTTTTCCACCCTTAGCCTCAACACTCTCTCAGTGATTCAGAGAGCTCCAGACATATGTTGAAATGGCAAACACTGTCAGAAATAATTGGTAAATATGGGAAAGGGAGGTGGCACTTAGCAATATTGAGATGCATTTAGGAGATTAACATATTTTGTGGGTCCAAGAACAAAGATATTTGAAGTGAAATTCACACAGGGAGAAGCAATTGCGGAGGGACTGTCTGCATCTTAGGTACATTCTGTCATCACCAAGATGGGGTGTAAAAGTTTATTCCCCACCCCACACCAGAAAGCTGTCCCTTTCTCTCTTCTCTTTGAGTTCTCTTGTATACTCTTCCTCTCTTCCCCTTAATCAGTTACTCATCTCCAGGGGCGTGCAAGTTCCTCTGCATCTTTTTCAGAGATTGTGTGAATAAAGAGTGTTGTGGACCTCTAGGTAATGAAAGACAGATGGACCTGTAGGAGGAAGAAGTTAAGAGCATGAAAGGGGAGCCCCCATAGCTGGCAAATTCTTGTGCTCAGGCTCAACTGTAAGTCTTTCAGCAACTCTACCAGCAAAACAAGAGATCGGCCAGTGCTCCAAAAAGTCAGTCTTAGCTGCTTCAGAAGACAGATCTTTCTAGCTCTAGCTAGAATTAGGTGGGTAGGAGAACCCTGAAGTCTTCTCTCTAACTATAGCTTAGTGGCCTCATCTGTGGAGAATTGAATGGAGAGATGACATTTTCTTCTGAAGATAAAAGCTGCCTGCAGCTGGTAAGGCTCAAGGCTGAGCAGTGTTATCTGGTTGGCTTTACTGAAAGCAAGCACAGGTTCTCATATTGGGTTTAAGACCTCTGCATATGGTTATGCAGGTAGTGCTCTGCTCAAATTTAGAAGATGTCACTTGTATAAACTCTACCAGGTGATATTCAGATACACCCTAATTAAATGGAGCCCCCTAGGGTTGAACAGTGCATAAGCTATGCAGTGATGAGTGGCAGCTCTGCCTAGGGAGAGCTTCAGATCTACTGGAGTAATACTGTACTTCCTGTAACATAACTCCATGGTTCAGTTGGATAGGTTGCTTTCTGATTGGAAAGGACATATATAAATGGCGGTGATCTTCTCTTCTGGAATAAAAATCAGGACCCATGGTTGGCAAAAGACTCTTTGATTTATGATGTCACTCTTAGTGTGTACTCTTAAAGAGTACAACAATACATTATTTTTAGTTAATTAATTAATTTTTATCAAAAAGAATAAAATTAACAGCATATTGGAGTGATCTTGGAAAGCTTGGGGCATTCAAAAGTTATACAGATAATGCAATAAAAAGACATCATATTCCACTAACTCAGTCTGCCATAACAAAGTACCACAGACTGGGTGGTTAAACAATGAAAATTAATTTTCTCATAGTTCTGGTGCTGAAAAATCCAAGATCAAAGTGCCAGCCAGTTCGTTTCCTAGTGAAGGCTCTCTTTCAGGCTTGCAGGCATCCACCTTTTCTTTGTGTCCTCACATGGTGAAGAGTGCAAGAGAGAGAGATAGTGAGCCCATCTTGTATCTTCCTCCTCTTATAAGGGCACCAGCCCTATCAGACTAATGCATCTTCTGACTTTAGGTTCTTGTGACCTCATCTAACGTTTACCACCTCATCACAAGCCCTATCTCCAAATATAGTCACATTAAGTGTTAGCACTTCAACATACAAATTTGGGGGTGGGAACACAAACATCTATTTCATAATAGATATTAAATATTATTAACTTGCCTCATAAACCCTAGCCCAATGTAAAGCCATCCCCTAAAATGGCTCCCCTAATCTCTACTTTCTGATGTCCATGACCTTGTATAACATCAAACACTGAATAAGACTGAGTTCTGAAACCTGTGCCTTCCTCCTTGCTCTTTTAAATCACCTGCTCTAGGGGAAGCTAGCTGCTATCTGGCAAGGTCAACAGAGAAGCTCTATCAATAGGTCCACATGGTAAGAAACTGATTTATTAGTGACCTGCAAAGTTTTGACTCAAGTTGTATTGGGCAGAAACACTGCCAAGCTTACATAGAAAGGAGAAAGTATAAAGTGGAAAGGGGTCTTTGGACACCTAAACTTCTGAAGACGGGAAACAGACCACAAAGAGTAATCAGCTACAAAAATATGCTGCCTTCGTGGAAAAGGAAGAATGACTAAAACAGTAGAATCAAGAGATCAGAAGATGGAGTCAAGAGCCATGGAGAATAATTCTTGGGTAGGAATGGAGTGGATTCTTAATGAACTTTCATCGAGAGCCTGGCTGGATTTCAGAATTGCCCTTAATCAGTGACTCCTATATGCCTCCATTTCCCCCTTTATTGAGGACATGTGTCTAAAGTAGTCATCCTACTCTTGCCCAACTATTGTTTGTTTGTTGGGTGTGTGGAGGGAGATAACTGGTGTCTTCAGTTTTAGATAAACTGATTTGGAGAGGTTGTATTCAAGGAACCAGGCCTAAGGAGACTTGTCTGCATCTGATTTAGATAATGAGCTCTTGGATGTATAACTGATGCTATAACGGGATGAGGTTTTGGGGGCCTGCGCAGAGAGTGAGCAGTTTTGCATGTGCAACATGAATCATAGGGTAGGCAGCCTCCCAGAAGGCTCTGGTGATTCTTGCATCTGAGGTCCATGCCCTTGTATGGCCCCTTCCCACTTGGAATAAAACTGACCTGTGTCACTGACACAATACATTCATAAAAATAATGGTTTGTGACTTTGAGGCTGGGTTGTAAATGACACTGCAATTTCCACCTGGTTCTGTTTTGGATCCTTGCTCTGGTGGAAGCCAGAGCTTCCATGCTGTGGGGACATTCAGCCATTGGGAGAAGTCTTTTGGTGATGAACTGAGGCTTCTTGCCTGCAACTAGTAATAACTTGGCATCTGGTGAGAGACTACCTTGTAAGTGGATCCTCCAGCCTTCATCAAGCCACCTCCTGAGAGACCCTAACCTATAGCCATGCAGCTAAGCTGCTTCCAAATTTTTGACCCACAAAAATTATGAGAAATAATAATTATTTACTATTGTTCTAGGCTGCTACACTTTACAATAACTTTTATATAACAATAGATGACTATTATATACATGATGTGCTTCTTGATCAAAAAATTGATAAATTAAGAAGCAATAAGCAAAATAAAATAAAAAGGCAGTCATATCTCAAGGAGCCCTGGACTAAGGTCAGAAGACCCAGGATCACTCCCTAGTATCATTAAACACTGCACCACCTTGGCCAGGGGACTTGTTCCCTGACCGCAGGCCTTAGGTTTCTGATTTGTGAAAAGGTGCTTGACTCAAATGACCTGTAAAAGACATTACAGCTCAGGCACATAGAGAAATTCTCTAGTTTCTTCAATCAGGCAGCTTCAAGGCCCAGAGTATACAGTAGCTGCTGGGTTCAGTTAAAGCCTACATAGCCAGACTGGTGCTTTGTGGTGAGGGTGATAAACTGCATACAGACAGTTATTCAATAATACTACCTGTTTATCACCAGAAAAAAATGTCACCAGAATTTTCATGCAAAGTGAAAGAGAGCTCTTGGTACCAAAGCTTTTGACAGTTGCAACAAGCGGAGACGTTTTCGAGGTAGTGTGGGATGGTGGAAGGACCTCTGGAGTTTAGAATCTTGCTCTGGCTCTAACTGTTGGTGTCACCTTAGGCAAGAGACTTCATCATCTCTCAGCCTCAGTTTCCTTATCTATACAGTGGAGATAATGATAATTATGAGGACTTGTAGGGTTGTTGATATGGTCTGGCTCTGTGTCCCCATCCAAATCTCATCTCGAATTGTAATCCTCACATGTCAAGGGAGGGACCTGGTGGGAGGTGATTGGATTATGGGGGCAGGTTTCTTCCTTGCTGCTCTTGTCATAACGAACTCCCAGAAGACGTGGTTATTTGATAAGTGTCTGGCGCTTCAGCCTTCTCTCTCTCTCCTGCCTCCTGGTAAAGAAAGTGTCTGCTTCCCTTTTGCTGGCCACCATGATTGTAAGATTCCTGAGGCCTCCCCGGCCATGTGGAACTGTGAGTCAATCAAACCTCTTCCCTTCATAAATTACCCAGTCTCAGGTAGAATTTTTTTTTTTTTTTTTTTTTTTGAGACAGAGTTTTACTCTTGTTGCCCAGGCAGGAGTGCAATGGTGTGACCTCGGCTCACTGCAACCTCTGCCTCCCCAGTTCGAGTGATTCTCCTGCCTCAGCCTCTCAAGTAGCTGGGATTACAGGCATGCACCATCATGCCCAGCTGATTTTGTATTTTTAGTAGAAATGAGGTTTCACCATGTTGGTCAGGCTGGTCTCAAACTCCTGACCTCAAGTGATCCATCCACCTTGGCCTCCCAAAGTGCTGGGATTACAGGTGTGAACCACCTTGCCGGGCCTCAGGTAGTATCTTTATAGCAGTGTGATAACTGACTAATACAGTTGTTGCAAGCATTAAAGAGCAGATATCTATGAACAAAAGTGCTTTCGTTTGTTGTTGTTTTGGAAGGGTTGCTTTGGGGCAAGTATGAGATTTAGTAGAGAGCTGCTTATGTTGAATTTTTGCCAAGGTGACATTTAATATATTAAGACTCAACTGACACTTTAAATTTAAAATTTGGAGGGACACAAGGCATATCAACCCCTTCAAAAAGACAGTATTAATAATATGTTTTTTCCTCAAATTGTGACATGATGTCACAGAGTCAACAGCACAAACCTCAATTTCTATTTTAATTTCTGTTAGAAATGAAACAAACAGACATGCTTGTGCTAGGAAAAGTGATCCAAATGTTTCTTGATACTGTTCCCAGTCTTTCCCTCAAAGAATAGACATTCTAATAAACAAATAAGTCACTGATTATATAGACTTTAGGGCCCAGTTTCCGTCTTCATCCATCTTCATGCCTCCCTGGCCTTCACTGATGATACCTCCCGAGCCTGCAAGACCCTCTTCTTCAGCTTTCAAGGTTAAGCTCAAAGCACACTTCCTCCTTCCAGCCCTCCTTGATGTTTATAGGCAGAATTAGCAGTTACCAGCCATTCCACTGCCCCCTTTCCTAATGTTATAATCATCCTGGTCGAATAACTGACCCTAACTTTCCCTTTACACTAAAGACTGACCTCCAGGAGGACAGAGGTCATTTGTCTTTTCAGTTTATCTTCTATAGCTAATAGCTTATTGGTAGCTTTTTTTTTTTTTTTTTTTTTTTTTTGAGACGGAGTCTCGCTCTGTCGCCCAGGCTGGAGTGCAGTGGCGGGATCTCGGCTCACTGCAAGCTCCGCCTCCCGGGTTCACGCCATTCTCCTGCCTCAGCCTCCCGAGTAGCTGGGACTACAGGCGCCCGCCACCACGCCCGGCTAATTTTTTGTATTTTTAGTAGAGACGGGGTTTCACCGTTTTAGCCGGGATGGTCTCGATCTCCTGACCTCGTGATCCGCCCACCTCGGCCTCCCAAAGTGCTGGGATTACAGGCGTGAGCCACCGCGCCCGGCCCTATTGGTAGCTTTTAAGTGATGTTTATATTGAAGAAGGAAGGAAGGGAGGGGGACAGAAGGGAAGGAGGGAAAGAAGGAAAATGGCAGAAAAGGGAAGAGAAAAGGGGGGAAGACACAAAGGAGAAAGAATTACTGCTTTTCTATTGCTTATGGGCACCTTTCTGGTTAATTTTAGTTGAGGTTAATCATCAAATTATTATTATTGTCTTCATTTTATGGAGGAGGAAATTGACGCTTAGAAGTTGCCAAAGATTATGTAGCCTGTAAGTGATGGATTGAAAGGAAATGCCATGGTGGGAAAGAGAAAAAAAAACAAAAAACAAAAAACCCCAGAAGCCTTCAATAGAGGGTGATGAGGAGAGAAGCTGGCGGAAGAGTCGGGCTATTTTGGGGGGACTGTAAAAATTGATGATATTGGTGTGCATACCAAAATCCCAACAAACAATGTAATTAAAAGAGAGTTGTTGCATTGGCATTTTTGTGAAGGGTCGGGGAAGAAGTAGGTGAGAGGAGTAGGAATCATTTTTATTCAATATTTTTGGAGCATCAGAGCTAATTGATAACAAGGCCCCAATATCGAATGTGACTGCAGGGGGAGTGAGACCACAAGCCAGACCTGCACCCACTTCGAAGCTGAGCAGTAACTGATCTTGCCCCCTTGGGTCTAAAGAAAGCTGCCAGCAGGCTGAGCAGAGGAAGCAGGTTTGCTTTCAATAGTCTCTCCAAGCCAGGATTGGACCAAGTGAAGGGGGCTCTTCTGATCTAGCTGTGACTCATGCTCCTTCCCAGGTTACCCATTTTTTTTATTATTATACCCTAAGTTCTAGGGTACATGTGCACAACGTGCAGGTTTATTACATATGTATACCTGTGCCATGTTGGTGTGCTGCACCCATTAACTCATCACTTACATTAGGTATTTCTCCTAATGCTATCCCTCCCCACTCCCCCAACCCCACGACAGGCCCCAGTGTGTGATGTTCCCCTTCCTGCGTCCAGGTGTTCTCATTGTTCAATTCCCACCTATGAGTGAGAACATGCGGTGTTTGGTTTTTTGTCCTTGCGATAGTTTGCTGAGAATGATGGTTTCCAGCTTCATCCATGTCCCTACAAAGGACATGAACTCATCCCCCTTTTTTTTCTACTCTGCCTGTCTGAATTACTGCTTTTTCTTTTTTCAGTCTGAACAACCTCTGTGTGCTCTTCTCCTCTCATAGCTTCAGTTACAAGACAGAAGCTGATAATTTCTCCATCTTAGCTTCAACCCAGATTTCTCCCCTGAGCTCCAGACCCACACTTAGAACCAACTGGACAGCTCCGGCTGACTGTGTCATACGTGTGCCTCAGTCTCTCCAAGTCCCCTTATCGGGGATGAATTGAAATTTTGTTCTCTGCTCACCCGTGAACAATTGGTTC